>NC_000018.10:53634574-53935241 GCF_000001405.40 Homo sapiens
ATCCAGAAGCTACAAAGAACTTAAACAAATTTACAAGAAAAAAAACAACCCCAACAAAAAGTGGGCAAAGGATATGAACAGACACTTTTCAAAAGAAGACATTTATGCAGCCAACAGACATATGAAAAAACACTCATCACTTGTCACCAGAGAAATGCAAATCAATACTACAATGAGATACCATCTCATGCCGGTTAGAATGGTGATCATTAAAAAGTCAGGAAACAACAGATGCTGGAGAGGATGTGGAGAAACAGGAACGCTTTTACACTGTTGGTGGGAGTGTAAATTAGTTAAACCACTGTGGAAGACAGTGTGTTGATTCCTCAAGGATCTAGAACTAGAAATACCATTTGACCCAGTAATCTCACTACTGGGTATAACCAAAGGATTATAAATTATGCTACTATAAAGACACATGCACACATATGTTTATTGTGGCACTATTCACAATAGCAAAGACTTGGAACCAACCCAAATGCCCATCAATGATAGACTGGATTAAGAAAATGTGGCATATATACCCCATGGAATACTATGCAGTAATAAAAAAGGATGAGTTCCCCTTAAGGGGAACATCACACACCAGGGCCTGTTGTGGGGTGGGGGGAGGGATAGCATTAGGAGATACACCTAATGTTAAATGACGAGTTAATGGGTGCAGCACACCAACATGGCACATGTATATATATGTAACAAACCTGCACGTTGTGCACATGTACCCTAAAACTTAAAGCATAATTTAAAAAAAAAAAAAAAAGGATGAGTTCACATGCTTTGCAGGGACATGGATGAAGCTGGAAACCATCATTCTAAGCAAACCATCGCAAGGACAGAATACCAAACACTGCATCTTCTCACTCATAGGTGTGAGCTGAATAGTGAGAACACATGGACACAGGGCAGGGAACATCACACACTGGGGCCTGTCGGGGGTTGGGGAGCTGGGGGAAGGATAGCATTAGGAGAAATACCTAATATAAATGACGAGTTGATGGGTGTAGCAAACCAACATGGCGCATGTATACCTATGTAACAAAACAGCATGTTGTGCACATGTACCCTAGAACTTAAAGTATAAGAAAAAATTAATTAAAAATAAAATCATGTGTGTAGTAAAACTTTGGTCTTTACAACCTCTTATCACAACCCAGACATTCCTTTCTATTGATCCCAGGTCTTTAGACAAACTCAACCAACTGTCAACCAGAAAATGTTTAAATTTACCTATAGCCTGGAAGCTGTCACCACACTTTGAATTGTCCCACCTTTCTGGACCAAAACAATATGTTTCTTAAATGTATCTGATTGATGTCTCATGCCTCCCTAAAATGTGTAAAACCAAGCTGCACCCCGACCACCTTGGGCACATGTTCTCAGGACATCCTGAGGGCTGTGTCATAGGACATGGTCATTGATATTTGGCTCAGAATAAATGTCTTCAAATATTTTAGAGAGTGTGAGTCTTTTTGTAGACATATTCATTATCATTCATTCTATTTTTGCATTAAAAAGTATGATATATAATGCATTTTGTTTTCAATAATCACATATTAACAATAATTATAATAAAACTCTATCCAGATGAATTTTTTGTAACATCATAGAGCTTTAGGGACAGAGGGTAGATAACATAGTCATTGAAAGGAAATATGATGTGAGAAGTGTTCAATACAACTTTCAAATATAAATAAATATTAGAATAAAATATTGTGGAAGAAGTAAAACAAAAATATGATTTTGTGGCATAAAAATAAAAAGTAAAATTGTTCATACACTGATTTAAAATGCATGATGATGAGTATTAAATTACTATAGTATTTAAATCCTGTTACATATATTTAAAGGAGTGATCCAATTATTTTAAAGTGTTAATTATTAAAATATGCTAGAAATTAAAGGAGAGTTCCCAGAAACCAATATTTTAAATTGTCCCTTTATTTAGTTTCTTTTTAAAAAGCATCTTGTGTCAATAGACTATAGTTAATTCTGGATGGGTGCGATGAAAGAGGAAAAGGAATGTGGAAAATAGCAATTGTTTAACATCTCAATTGCAGACCCCTTAGGCAAATCAAATTTAGGAAAGAGCACATATGAAAACTGAAGTACTGGAAATTGATTCACTTAAACTGTATATGCCAGGGTACCCCTAAAAAGAGTCTCCATATACTCCCAGGGATAGGAGTCCTTCAGTTTGAACTGCTGGTATAGGGTACAATTGAGGAAAGCATTCTGGAGATTTTTGCTAGGAGTGGTTGATATTAATGAAAGGCCATGTTAAAAGCAAGAAGAGTCAGAAAGGAGAGAGGTACTGAGAAGGAAGAAGGCCCACCCAAGAAAAGTTAAACAATTATCACAGTTTTATCATGTTTGAATCTGATTGCCATGACTTCCCTGCATATTTACTCATTTTGAACTCTTGAATGTGAAATAAATGAGTTTCTTACAGTCCTTGAGAAGAAATTGGATAGGATAAGCCCAAATGCAAAAGGGGAGACATGAAAAAATTTCCTCTTACGGAAATACTCTGGGAAACATTGTTTAGAGAATTACCTATTAGATGTCATGTTTACTCTGCTAGCCTAATTTCTTTTTCAGCCAAAGAAATACCAGAGGGCTTCAAATGAATCATCTTGACTTATATCTTGTCACAACTTGACTTAATTATCTTTCTGTCAATTATGTTAAAACCATTTTACCCTCCAGCTTTGTATGTAAGTTGTGTTGGCATGGTTACCCGACACATTATTCCAAGTGTATCGATCCTTTAACTCTTCAAAGCAATAAATTCCTTTTCCAATACCAATCCAATCAGTTTCAAAATTATAGACCATGATATCAGTTTCTGAGTCTAGAAATTTATTACCATGAAGAGGTTTTATAAACTAATAGCTAATTTATCTAAATATCTATCAAAGATTCAACAGAAAATATTAAAGAGAAAATATACAGGAGACATCACATCTTGCCTTAATGAATTAGTAATTAAGATGAATTAATAATGGACCAAAAAATGTATTTTATAAATTTATCAACTGTCAAGACCAGCATCCCCCAAAAGTCCTTGGCTCAATTCTACAGCAAATATTCCTTCAAGCTGGAGAAGAGCCAAAAAAAAAAAAAGTCTCAAAAGTTTATTTTCTGAAAGGAGTATGGAAGTATCGAAGGTTTGGTGATACAATTGTTGCCGTGATCACATACACCATTAAACAATATGAAGAAAAGAAAATTATTCTATTAAAACCACACTGCGCAAGCAAAGACCCCAGGTTTTGGAACAAATTATATAACAGCGGTGTGATTTCGGTCAAGTCTTATTGCTTCCTGAATGTCAGTTATTTTATGTAGACCAGGGATTCTCATTTGAGAGTGTTTTTCGCCACTAGGGACATTTGACAACGTCTGGAGTCGTTCTTGGTTGTCACAGTTAGGGGAAGAGGTTGCTATTGGCATCTAGTGGGTACGAATCAGGGCTGCTGCTAAACATCCCGCAATGCACAGCTCTTCCTAGGAAGAATTATCTGGCCTCAAATGTCAGTAGCACTGACACGGAGAAACCCTGATGTAGAGGTTAAAGATATTCAACTTGCCTTGCCTGTACTGAGGAGTTGTTATGAAGATAAAAGGGAAAAGGATATGAAGGTTTTAGAAGTCCGTAATATTATATAATTGATAGTGTCATTATTCATGTATTATTTATTCCCATTTCGCCTTAGAACTCCTCCCCATGACAAAAAGCTTCACGCCTTCATATTCTGCCCTTTTCAGGATGTCTCGGTCTCTTCAATCCAGCTCCTTGCTCCGGTCGGGCCTGTGCCTCCTTTCCTACCTCCTATGCTGCATCAAAATACCTTTATTAAGTGACCTAGTTTCTCTGGATGTGTTTAGATGATTAAATTTCCCAAGAAATTACTTTGAGTTGATGGCTCAAAACATAATTGTTAATAGTTTTATATACACACACAAACACACACACACACGAAATCAAAGACTTTTTAACATGAGTAGAATTTAGAGTTGCTTTTTGCAATGATTTTCTAAAAGTGGGCAGAAAAATACTAGGATTCTGAAGAAACATCACAACAGAGGCCTTGAAGGGCTGAGAAAATAGTAGAACAAGATTCTTTCCAAGTCCTCTGCTTCCTTTTTAAGATAATAAAAGTGTGAGAAATACAATAAATCCCAGAATCAGGTTTTCTGACCACCAGTCCAGTACCCTTTCCAATCTGCCACGTTGGCTTGTACGTAATGATTACCTTTGAACGAGAGGTGTTAGTGGCCTAATGCAAAAGAGTAAGTCATGTGGGAATTCTCAAGTCCAATCTGTAGCAGAAGAAGTGAGATGGGCATGTTCAAGTGGGAATCTTTTAGTACCTTCAAATAATGAATAGTCAGATCACTGATTCTGCCAGTAGTTTGCATTAGGAGGCCGAATCACCGCATTAACAAGTAAAGCCGTTTCCTGCTGGTTTCTTCTTCTCTCCAGATCATTCCCTTTTATGGCAGAGGAATGAATGGACACAGTAAAGCCTCCAGGTCTTACTGAATTGCGTACCCCAAACCAACCTGTCATAAAATTCACTTGGGGGAGCTTGTTATAAAACTACCTGGATCTATGCCTCACAAGCAGAGTCAGAATCTACATGTGCCATGTTGGTGTGCAGTACACCAACATGGCACATGTATACAAATGTAACAAAACTGCACATTGTGCACATGACCCTAAAACTTAAAGTATAATAATAATAAAATAAAATAAAAAGAATCTACATGTCTATGGGTCAGAAATCTTTATTTTAGCTTGGCAACCATTACTATCAACAATATAATAGGTTAAAAAAAGAAATATTAGAATTAGGAAAAGTAAATAATTGATGTGATTATGTTTTTATTGGTATTGCCATTGAATCCATCAGTTGTTCTGGTATCCTATAGCCATAATATGTATTGTCCAAATAATAGAAGGGACCAGTTTTCTCTCCCTAAAGAAAAAAAACACGAGGCTGCCAGTCTGTTTTTCTCCACAGCTGGCATCTCAGGGCCACTCAGACCAGTGTGCATTCCACCCTCCTTTTGGCATTCCTCCTACAGAATTTAAAACCTATAGCCACAAATGTTAAGCATCCATATGGCACTTTATGCCTGTGCAATGTTTTTTTTTTTCATTTTTATTGGTCATTTCTGGAAACAACTCTCTAAGGCAGGTTCATGTCATCACCCTTACATGATAGATGAAGGAACACAGTCTCACAGAAGCTCTGGGTCACACAGCAGGGAGAAGGCTGATTCTCTCTCCAGGCTCCTGCTGCTTCTATCTAATCTCTACAGTCCTGTGCTGGAGAGCTTCCATTTGCCCAGCCAGAGCCATGCTCCTCTGTCTAGGGAGCCTGACCTGTATCAACAGACTCTTTTGCCCTTGTCTTCTGTTTGAGTTTGGCTATTGCAGAGAACAAGAGAAAAAAAACAAGAAAGGCAGGATTTTAGGGATGGAGTATTTATTTCTCTAGCTCTCTTTCTGAGGGGTCATGTAAGAATGAAATTAGAACTCAGGATTAAGAAATTCACTCAAGGCCGGGCACAGTGGCTCATGCCTGTAATCCCTTTGGGAGGCCAAGGCGGGCAGATCACGAGGTCAGGAGATCGAGACCATCCTGGCTAACACGGTGAAACCCCGTCTCTACTAAAAATACAAAAAATTAGCCAGGCATGGTGGCAGGCACCTGTAGTCCCAGCTACTTGGGAGACTGAGGCAGGGGAATGGCTTGAACCTGGGAGGTGGAGCTTGCAGTGAGCCAAGATTGCGTGACTGCACTCCAGCCTGGGAGACTGAGCAAGACTCCATCTCAAAAAAAAAAAAAAAAAAAAAAAGGAAAAGAGAAAAAGAAACTCACTCAAAACCACAAAACTACATGAAAACTGAACAACCTGCTACTGAATGACTACTGGGTAAATAACAAAATTAAGGCAGAAATAAATAAGTTATTTGAAACCAATGAGAACAAAGACACAATGTACCAGAATCTCTGGGACACAGCTAAAGTAGTGATTAGAGGGAAGTTTATAGCACTAAATGCCCACAGGAGAAAGTGGGAAAGATCTAAAATGGATGCTCTAACATCACAATTAAAAGACCTAGAGAAGCAAGAGCAAACAAATTCAAAAGCCAGCAGAAGACAAGAAATAATTAAGATCAGAGCAGAACTGAAGGAGACAGAGACACAAAGAAAACCTCGAAAAAGCAATGAATCCAGGAGATGGTTTGTGAAAAGATTAACAAAATAGATAGACTGCTAGCCAGATTAATAAAGAAGAAAAGAGAGAAGAATCAAATAGACACAATAAAAAATGATAAAGGAGATATCACTGCTGATCCTACAGAAATACAAACTACCCTCAAAGAATACCATAAACACCTCTACACAAAGAAACTAGAAAATCTAGAAGAAATGGATAAATTCCTGGACACATACGCCCTCCCAAGACTAAACCAGGAAGAAGTCGAATTCTCGAATAGAGCAATAACAAGTTCTGAAATTGAGGCAGTAATTAATAGCCTACCAACCAAAAAAAGCCCAGGACCAGACAGATTCATGGCTGAATTCTACCAGAGGTACAAAGAGGAGCTGATACCATTCCTTCTGAAACTATTCCAAAACAATAGAAAAGGAGGGACTCCTCCCTAACTCATTTTATGAGGCCAGCATCATCCTGATACCAAAACCGGGCAGAAGCACAAAAAAAAAAAAAAAAAGAAAGAAAGAAAATTTTAGGCCAATATCCCTGATGAACATCGATGTGAAAATCCTCAGTAAAATACTGGCAATCCGAATCCAGCAGCACATCAAAAAGCTTATCCACCACAATCAAGTCATCTTCATCTCTGGGATGCAAGGCTAGTTCAACATATGCAAATCAGTAAATGTAATCCATCACATAAACAGAACCAAAGACAAAAACCACATGATTATCTCAATAGATTCAGAAAGGGCCTTCAACAAATTTCAACAGCCTTTCATGCTAAAAACTCTCAATAAACTAGGTATTGATGGAATATATCTCAAAATAATAAAAGCTATTTATGACAAACCCATGGTCAATATCATACTGAATGGGCAAAAACTGGAAGCATTCCCTTTGAAAACTGGCACAAGACAAGGATGCCCTCTCTCGCCACTCCTATTCAACATAGTACTGGAAGTTCTGGCCAGGGCAATCAGGCAAGAGAAAGAAATAAAGTGTATTCAAATAGGAAGAGAGGAAGTCAAATGGTCTCTGCAGATGACATGATTGTATATTTAGAAAACCCCGCTGTCTCAGACCAAAATCTCTTAAGCTGATAGGCAACTTCAGCAACATCTCAGGATACAAAATCAATGTGCAAAAATCATAAGCATTCTTATACACCAATAATAGACAAACGGAGAGCCAAATCATGAGTGAACTCCCATTCACAGTTGCTACAAAGAGAATAAAATACCTAGGAATACAACTTTCAAGGGATGTGAAGGACCTCTTCAAGGAGAACTACCAACCACTGCTCAAGGAAATAACAGAGGATACAAACAAATGGAAAAACATTCCATGCTCATAGATAGGAAGAATCAATAATGTGAAAATGGTCATACTGCCCAAAGTATGACTCAATGCTATCCCCATCAAGCTACCACTGACTGTCTTCACAGAATTAGAAAAAATTATTTTAAATTTCATATGGAACCAAAAAAGAGCATGTATAGCCAGGAAAATCCTAAGCAGAAAGAACAAAGCTGGAGGCATCATGCTACCTGACTTCAAACTATACTACAAGGCTACCGTAACCAAAACAGCATGGTACTAGTACCAAAACAGATATATAGACCAATGGAACAGAACAGAGGCCTCAGAAATAACACCACACGTCTACAACCGTCTCATCTTTGACAAACCTGACAAAAACTAGCAATGTGGAAAGGATTCCATATTTAATAAATGGTGCTGGGAAAACTGACAATATGCAGAAAACTGAAACTGGACCCCTTCCTTACACCTTATACAAAAACTAACTCAAGATGGATTAAAGACTTAAACATAAGACCTGAAACCATAAAAATCCTAGAAGAAAACCTAAGCAATACCATTCAAGACATAGGCATGGGCAGGAACTTCATGACTAACACACCGAAAGCAATGGCAACAAAAGCCAAAATAGACAAATGGGATCTAATTAAACTAAAGAGTTTCATCACAGCAAAAGAAACTATCATCAGAGTGAACAGGCAACCTACAGAATGGGAGAAAATTTTTGCCATCTACCCATCTGACAAAGGGCTATTATCCAGAATGTGCAGAGAACTTAAACAAATTTACAAGAAAAGAATAATCCCATCAAAAAGTGGGTGATGGCTATGAACAGACACTCCTCAAAAGAAAATGTTTATACAGCTAACAGACATATGAAAAAATGCTCATCATCACTGGAATTATCACTTTTCATCATTAGAAAAATGCAAATCAAAACCACGATGAGATAGCATCTCACACCAGTTAGAATGATGATCATTAAAAAGTCAGGAAACAACAGATGCTGGAGAGGATGTGGAGAAATAGGAACGGTTTTACGCTGTTGGTGGGAGTGTAAATTAGTTCAACCATTGTGGAAGACAGTGTGGTGATTCCCTCAAGGATCCAGAACCAGAAATATCATTTGACCCAGCAATCCCATTACTGTGTATATACCCAAAGGATTATAAATCATTCTACTATAAAGACACATGTACACGCATGTTTATTGCAGCACTGTTCACAATAGCAAGGCTTGGAACCAACCCAAATGGCCATCAATGATAGACTGGATAAAGAAAATGTGGCACATATACACCATGGAATCCTATGCAGCCATAAAAAAGGATGAGTTCATGTCCTTTTCAGGGACATGGATGAAGCTGGAAACCATCATTCTCAGCAAACTAACACAGGAACAGAAAACCAAACACCACGTGTTCTCATTCATAAGTGGGAATTGATCAATGAGAACACATGGACACAAGGAGTGGAATATCACACACCAAGGCCTGTCAGGGGGTGGTGGGCTAGGGGAGTGATATCATTAGGAGGAATACCTAATGTAGATGATAGGTTGATAGGTACAGCAAACCACCATGGCACATGTATACCTATGTAACAAACCTGCATGTTCTGCACATGTATCTGGAACTTAAAGTATAACTAAAAATAAAATAAAATAAAGAATAGTTGTAACCCTGGCCCAAAAGTCACTGCTCCATTCAAGATCATGACTCTCTCCTTGGGACTGTAGTAATGGCACCCTCTCTTTCTGCCATCATGTCTAAGAGTCGTAATAACCCCTCTTCCCCCATTACTAGTCTTAGGATGCTGCCTTACTCCTTTTGCTTCCCTTTACTCGACCTACACATGTGTGTGCCATCAACTTCTTGCTGGGACCCTAATGACTCAACAATTGAACATCCACCTAAAGCTGTCATGAATTTGCATGTATAATGCATCTTAAGCAAACCTTATGTTTGAAAATTCAAACATCAAATAAGTTTTAAACCAAAATGAATTCATCCTTTTTAGAATTTTATGAAAGCTATGACAATTTTACCCCAATGTTTATATGCATGCATGTGCACACACAGACACACACATATTCACACACTTTTGCCTAACAACTCAGTGGTTTCAGAGACCTACTGAAGCTCATCTGAAGAAGGTTATGAACACAAATGTTAGAGATAGGCTTTGTTTCAATGTTCTTATTTGATGTGTAAGAAATCAGAGACACATGTCTCAGGACAAATGGATAGTGACTGGCAGAAATGGGAATAGGAGTCAGACAGACCTATGAACTATATCTAATACTTCTTCCTCTATAGTAAATATAAATATTAAATTGAGATTAGTTATTTTAACAAAATTACTAAGGTGCTTGTAAGAGTAGCATATTCCTTAGGTATATTTAAAAAAATACTCTTAAAGGAATGCACTTACTCGTAAAATAGGGTACATCTGTAAGCATTCTTTCATGAGGAATAGATTAGATCTGTGAAGTGAGAATATAAACACAAGGGAAGTTGGTTTCTTATTTTCTGTGTTATTTTGGTGATCAGTGAAAACTCAGCTCTGACTTTTATCTCTTGATTAATCTAGGATTACCAAAAAGGCAAAGAAATATTTATTAGTCTGAGGTCTGCAGGGAAAGCTGCCCTTTTCTGAGAGCAGGGAGAGAAGGATACAGAAGCAAAATGCTGCCTCTGAAATCTACTGGCAGCTTTATGATAGTCTATAATACACAGGGTCTGGGTAGGAGAAGAATTACTCTTTTCTGTTACATTTACTGTTACTGGGCACCATCTGCAGCTCTGCACGCTCCAGAGGATGAGGGTCATGGAGAGGACTGGCATAAAGGATACAGTACTTGAGATGACTTTGCCAAGATGGCAGTTCTGAGCCCCATCACCAAACAAGAAAGCCTGTGCAGCTGCTATTAGGAATTGGCTGAGTCTCTGAAGCCAGTATAAATGGGGTGGAATGGGTGGAGAATTTGTCTCTTAGCCATAATTTCGAAATCCAAAGACCTCAGAAATCTAATTATTATTATTTTCTGCAAGTTTGATGCAAATTCATCTGGAGGCAAAATCTGACCTGAATTGACTTGTGGCTATTTTTAAGCCCTGTTTATCCCACTTAGCACAAGTGAGCACAGTTTTCACTGCAATATTATTTTGATTACTGGGTATTGCTCCAGACTCTGCTAGTTATGTTATAATACATATGGCTTATGTATTACATTACCTTTTTTAAAAAGTTGACTTCTATAAAACATCAGGCTCCATGGTTTCAGATAAGGTATGATAGACATGTATTTTTTTATTTAATATAGAGCTAGAAATGCCTGGAATAGAAAAGGGAAAGAAAGGCTTGTCTTAAGAAAGAAAGGATATCAATATGAGATGATTGAAAAACTTATAAAAGCCCATTATATCTCAGCTGTCCATTTCTAATGTTTGAAATTCAACAATAATTTTAACAATAACTCACTCTCTGATTTCTTTAATTCTGTCTGCTATTAAATAGATTGTAGATACCATAGAAAGAAAACACTTAGAACTCATAGAACATTTGCACTTTAGTGTTAGTTTTGAAAGGGAGAAAAAATGTTCAGAAACTGCCTAACAGAACAAATGAAGTGTATTTGTGGAGGATGGACACTGTGCTAAAAGGGTAGACCGGCTCATTCTACCCCTTGGGGACCAGCTTATCTGCTCCAGGAATTAACTGTGGTCTAAAGCAAAAGGGAAAACCACCCTAGCTTCATTAGTCCAAGGCAGGAGGGTCAGAAATGCACTGGGCATGTTCTCTGCCATTTCAGTCGTAGCGTTCCAGGCCAGAATGCATTGTCTAAATACATCAAAAAAGCTAGTCTCAAAGTCTAGAATACACCGGATGGAAACTACTCTTCAGACTGATTTTTTAAGTTCTTCAAGGACCCAGTATTGTACATGTTGTTTCCATTCTTGCCATCCAGTGCTTTTTAGTGTCACTTGATGAGGGGTAGTGAAGTGGATTGTGCTGTTTCTCTGGACCAGGTATCATCATCCTGAGGAGCTCCTGACATTTCTAAACATCCCAATTTCTCCATTCATAATACTAAGACCTTGGTTTAGAAGAATGCCAATCAGCTTTGCACTGTTACCTATAACCAAAGAGACATGTTTCACCATCATTGGTAGAAACTGGGGTGAAAAGCAATGAGCGCCAACTTGATTGAAAGCTGCTTTTAGGCAGTGATGAATTTGCAGGACAGGTAAAGGATGCCTGTGAAGACCACCCATTGGATCATGCCCTAGAGTTTCCAGAGTTCCTTGGCATGGAAAAAAGGGCTAAGCAGATTAGTGAGAATCAGAAAATAGCATGTTGATCCTCAAAGAGCTGCCAATCTAGTAGTGACAATTAGGCCAAAAGCATGGGAAAGAAAGCAACTCAGCAGTAATGCAAAAAGAGCCAATGATCTCATCTCAGTCAGCATGATCCGCAGGAAAGGGTGGCAAGTCAAGCAGGGTTAAATAAAAGTTCCTGCAGGAAAGGAATTCAGAACTAGCTCACTCATGATAAGAAGAAATACTCTCACATTTTAATTACTTTATGAAATAATTCAAAAAATGTGAAAGCTGCTTATAAATGAAATAGAAAACACAGGAGAGCAATATATTGTCTGCTTTTACATTTTAAAAGTATTTCTTTTTTTCCTAAGTTTAACAATTCCTCTTTGATATTGCAGTTCATATTTCTCATAGTATTCTTCTTTATCTCATAACATAGTGTGAATCCTATAGCATTGAAAGCAAATATATTTCTTGAAAGCGTCCAGTTATTTACTCCAAGTGGGTGGCAGTCAAAAAGTATGGAAGAACAAATCCCTTTGTATTGTTAGAAGTCACAAGTCAAAATTAAAGAAAAGAAAGAAAAGAAATGAAGAAAGAAAAAGGGAGAAAAAAAAGATTAAAATGCCTTTTGTAAGTGTCTCAGATTTTCTTGCTAACAGATGAATACAAGAGTGATATTTCTGCTCTATTCTATTCCTTTCCCCACTAGCTAAATGAAACCAGAGTGGAAAATAGATGATTGTAGTGTGGGCACCATCTGAAGTAGGTTATACAAAATTTTATACAGAATAAAAAGAATTGAGAAAACATGTTTCATTCATTGTATAAAATTTATAGTGTCTTTCATTCTGTTGAAGTTCCATGAATTTTTTGAAAACTTGCAATATATCTATCTATAAGAGCAATCTTATGCTCCATTGGCTGAATCAAGATGTATCAATATTTTATATACACGGAAGACTCTTGAAGTGTCAGACCTAAGACATATTAACTGGCCAGACGAGACTGGGAAGAGATAGAAACAAGTTATAGATAGCCTAAGTTAATGTCATCAACAGAGAATAGAGCTTTTGAGAGCTGGACTGACATCTCAGATGAGCTCCTTGAGATGATTTCCTTGCTGTTGTTTTTAGGAATTCCATTTTCAAGTCTATTATGGCAACCACTCAAAAGTATTTTTTGAAAAGAGAGGATATTGCTTTCTGTCAATCTAACATTCAGTGGGCCAGTGTTTGATAACTAAGATATTAGGAAATAACCCAGCAATTATGCTATCAGAATTGGTCAAAATTATGCCTTTTTTTTCTCCTCAGCTGGTCTCAATAAAAGTAACTAGCTTGAAAAGGACATATTTGTAGAATTGTTGCCACTAGGATAGGCCTGCTTAGAGGCCACATTTGATTATTTACTAAAATTCTAGAAAAGTCTTCTTCAATTGTTCCTGTCACTTAAAGTGAGACTTACCTCTTTTTTTTAGGACAAAGGGGCAAGAATAGAAATAAAAATAAAAATGGAAAACAGAGACATAGCAACATTATTTCTTTAAGCCTTAGTAAATAATTTAGAATATATATATATTTTTTATTTATTTATTTATTTTTTTTTTTGAGACAGAGTCTCTCTCTGTCACTCAGGCTAGACTGCAGTGGTGCAATCTTGGCTCACTGCAACCTCCGTCTCCTGGGTTCAAGTGATTCTCCACCTCAGCCTCTTGGGTAGCTGGGACTATAGGCACCCACCACTATGCCCGGCTTTTTTTCTATTTTTATTTATTTTTTATTTTTTAGTAGAGACAGGGGTTTCACCATGTTGGCCAGGCTGGTCTTGAACTCCTGACCTCAGGTGATCCACCCGCCTTGGCCTCCCAAAGAGCTGGTATTACAGGCATGAGCCACCGCGCCTGGCCTAGAAAAATATGTTATAAAAATCTATTAGTAAGGAAGAATGTAAGAGTAAGAACAGGAAGTTTTATTTAAGACACCATTTTAAGCACTACTGGCCTTTCCTTCACTTGCCATTTAAACTCAGTATTTTCTAAAAACTTCTGATGTTTTTATATAAATAGATGACAGTCAACTTCATCTCTAAAGAAGTCATTTTTTCATTGTATTTTAAGAACGATCACAGATTTGGTTGTAAATGAGATTTTTAAATTTCTCAGTAATGGCCCACTGCACTCTAGATTGTCAAAACGCATTGGTGAGTCTAGATGTGGAATAAACGCTCACTGCCACGGGACCTATTGATTTGGCATTGAAATTTGAATCCTAGGATGTAGAATAAATAAATTACTACTAAACCATCTTACTTTGCCTGCACAAAAAAATAGGCCTTTAAGGCCTGCAGATTAAATGTTTGAAAATAAAGTTTAGGAAATACCTTTAGTAAAATATTTTATAAATATAAAATGGAAAACAAAATATTTTGGGGTACATATATAAAGCAATATTTCTCAAATTTGAGTAATGTAGGTACCCTTTTTGAAGGGAAAAATGTATATTTCTGTTTGCATAAATTAGTTAAATATGTACAAATAATAAACTTATGTTTAAATTTTTTATGCAATTTTTAATCCAAAACAGATTTACAAATGGAAAATAGAGCTGCAAAAACAATAAAAATATAAAAATAAGGTAACAATAATTTAATGCTACGTATAATGCTTTGCCATATCTATATCACCAAACAAAATATGAATATTGTATCGAATAAGAATTTGTACACAATCATTTGGGTTTGGTTTCTGTCTTCCATATAGTACCATTTGAGAAGTCATTTTTTAAAGTGATATTTTACATTCAATTTATTGCAAAACCTATTTTATATGAAATTCACTTAGTGAACCATTTAATATTATTGGATCTAACTCTTTAATTTTTTTACTAGCAAATGGTGATAAATTAATTGGTTGCAAGAATCATCATGATCATGAATACAAATGAAAATATAGGCATTAAATTATATGGTAGCACTCTGCTATAAGATGGTTATTCATATGATTCTGCATATGTTTATATTAAGATTTTTATCATTTACTTAATGTTCAAAATTCAAATATTTTCATGAAGAACTTGAGGATCTCTAAGAATAAGTCCACTGACATCTAAGGATAGAATTCCATGGACTCTACTTTGAAAAAGCAGGTAGGACCTATGTGAACACTTTCTCTGGTTTTCTCTTTTGTGACCCAGGGCATTGGGTCTAGATGGAGCAGTTTGTTCACATTGTTGAATGTAAATATGAAGATTCATGATCTGTACCTCATGCCTGGTTTGGGATCTACACCGTGGCTGGTCACTTCACTGCATTACCCACTTCCTTTCAACAACTCTAGATACCAAGGCTCTAGTGAGCTTCCCGGGGTGGAGGAATCTCACACGTCTCTGCAGTTCACAGTTGAAGAGGAAAGTACATCTGTGTAACCTTCTTAGAGAGGAAGGACTCTGTCTTTGTTTTTGCCTGCTGTTCCTACACAGTCTTAATCTACTATTATTCCCAAGCCAGTGTATTTTTCACTGCAACCAGTGCAGTTTTCATCTCTAAAAGTTACATTTTAGTCTTTTAAGAAAAATCTATTTTGTCTCTGCTTAAATTTTTAACATACAAGATCAGTTATACTATTTGAATGGCTTTATCTGTTAATTCTAATATCTATGTCCATTGTTGATTAGTTTCAATTCGTTGATGATGATGATGATGATATTATTTTGGAGAATGAGTCTCACTCTGTTGCCCAGGCTGGAGTGCAGTGACGCAATCTCGGCTCACTGCAATCTCTGCCTCCTGGGTTCAAGCAATTCTCCTGTCTCAGCCTCCTGAGTAGCTGGGACAACAGGTGCATGCCACCATGCCTGGCTAATTTTCATACTTTTAGTAGAGACAGGGTTTCACCATATTGGTCAGGCTGGTCTCGAACTCCTGACCTTAGGTGGTCCACGGCCTCCCAAAGTGCTGCAGGCCTGGCCACCATGCCCGACCCTCTCCTGGTTACTTAGTAGGCACTGTCTGCTGATCTCTGGAATTTTCTCTTTGATTACTCTTTCTCTCTGATACTCTGTTTTGTGAACTCTAGTGATCTTTTTCTCTCCCAAATCTCAACTTTATCCTTTCAACAGGGGGAGTTTTTCCAGGTTCAACCTGGGTGTTCTCTCCATGTGCCACTACTTGGAAACTTTCTTAAGGAGATAAACTGAGGCAATGATAGGGTTTATCATTCTTGTTTTCTGTTTCTCATGAATATGATCCATCACTGAAGTCTAGTGTCTTGAAAACTATTGTAGCTATGCTATTTTTGTTGTTGTTGTTTAGACAGGAGGGTAGATCCTATTCCTGTTAATTGGAAGTGGAGGACCGCTATTAATTATATTTTTTATGAAAAAGTACTAATTACATTTCAGCTGAAATATTTTATTTTGTATTTTATCTTGCATGTAGTGAAATACCTTTTGACCCAAAGCAATGAAGGGTGCCCTTTGGCCATTTCATTTTTCTCTTTTATGTTACATAAATTTCTTATTTTAAATATTGCATCTTTCTTATGAAATAAAAATAACTAACTTTTCCTTATTTATTCATAGTTCATTAAGCTTGGGCTTAATGAAACCACATTATTATTAATATTTTTATATTTTTCAGTGCAGTCTCTTTTCTTCCCTGCATACACTCCTTCTCTCTTTTATCCTTATCTTGTATCTTCTAACCCAGGTCTTAATAATTTAAAATAAATGGTTTTTTTCCATACCCATATAATTTCACTCAACATGTGTGCTTATATCCACGTATATATGGATATACCAGTAAGAAAATCAACTGTTACTTTTAATTAACTTTATTCATTTTGCTGATTAGATCAAGGTCTTTTTTCCTTTTTATTTTTGGATACAAAGATCATACAGGTCCAAGGGCTTTGTGCTTTCAAATTCCCCTTTTTGCATAGCTAGAATTTTCGTTTCCTTCAGGTCATAGTGGAGATATTACCTCCTCAGAAAATCTCTTCTGGCTCCCAATATAAAGTAAAACAAAACAAAACAAAAAAATTAAAAAACATTAGATTATTCCATTTCACCTACAGCGTTTGTCATAATTTGTAATTATTCAGGTGTTTTTTGCTTATTTTCTGTCTGTCCATTTTGTCTATAATTTATTTTATCAATATATTCAGTGCTGTGTATTGCCCAGCATATTCTGGGGTCTCTGAGTATGTACATTTCATGAATGAATTAATCCAGTGAATACAGACAGGATGTGTTTTTCTTGCCCCACCACCCACAGTGCAATAGAGTGGTGAAATGGAAAGGATCCAAACCTGGATTTTAAATATGGCTACGTAACTTTGAAGCCATCCTATGTTTTAAAGTATAGTGTATTGATTTTTTTAAAAATTGGAGGCATAGTAAGGCCAACAGCTCAGGAGAAGACTACCATTGGAAAGACAGCCTGTTATTCACAGTCCCCAAAGGAGGTGCTGTGACACACCACAGGGAGCCACACTGGGAAGCCCTGGGGTCAGTCAGGAGGTAGAGGAAGGTGGGAAAACACAGACAAGAGCCTTTATTGTTATTTTGGTTGGAAGAGATGGGCAAGGCAGGGTACTCAGGCTTAGCATGGGTTAGTTTGAATAACTTCAGCAGGCTGTAGGCTGGCTCTAGGGCTTGGGGACTGTCCCTGGTTGTGTGGCACCTGCCCCTGGGGTAATTTAGGCAGATAGAGAGTAATCCAGATATAAGGGGCTATAAGGAGCTAGTATGAGGGCAGGCTTTGGATTGGCAGTGTGTATTTGGAAAGAATATTGTGGATGAGTTTGCTATCCAGGGATTGGCTGTGCCTGAGAGGGGCAGTCCCTTCAGAGTCAGCAAGGCCCCGATGTTCAAGCACCAGAATACAGAAAATAAAAGGCATGCCTAATATAACTACTTTGATGGGTAAGTCCCTTGGCACCACTGAACCTCAGACTTCATGTCTGAAAAAATGGAGATTATTATTATCATGTTCTTTCTGCTTCAAAAAATTAGTGGATAACAGATGTGAAGAGACTTTGAAAATACTAAGTTCCCGTATAAAGATATCTATTCTTTTATAAGAACAGCCCATCCAGAAAGCATGAGAGCTGCACTTTCTTTCCATACAGTTGGTGTATTTGTAGCCATTTGCTCCATTTGCTTCCATTCACCTGTGAGACTAATGATCTGATTAGACGAGAAAGCTGACCAGGGCAGGGGGGAAGAGGTCAGTCTGAAGCCAGGCAGGAGAGTGTCATTAAATGGGCCTGGCCTCATTAACATCATGCCTTAAACATCTGAACTAAGCAGGCACTGTCATGTCCTTAGGACATGAAAGAGGGGTCTAAGCTATTTCTATGTGAAAAGCTATCTATATTTAAAAGCATTTCTTTATTCACCATGAAAACTCATGAAAAAAAAAAGTCAGTGAAAGATCAAACAGGTGACCGTATTAGTAGAGGAATTTTCTAATTCTTCAAAACTATAGAATGTTTAGATTAGAAAGAATTCATAGAAACTTAATGAAATCATGAATATTTCTGTAAAAAATATGTGGGGAAGGGAACACCCAATCCATCAACCCTGTCATTTCTTCACTCTCCTCTTCATCAAGCTCAGAATCCATGATAATCTCGTTTGAATGCTTCATCTTAGGAAAATGGGTAATTTCTATTGAACCATATGTTTTTTTTCCATAAAGTAAGAGGGGCTCTCATCTTCTGAGAGGGTAATGAGAAAAGAAGGATAGAACTCTGAGGAGAGGGGAAAGGTCTGAAATAGGCATTATGGGTAGGCTGGGGAGAGAATGAGTTGTGAAACTGTTGGTTTTATAGAGGATCTAATCTGCTGTGTTGTGTTACTAGCATTCTTGTAGATTCTTAACTTCTCTTTTCCCCCCATCCCTGGGTGGGTTCGACTCTCAACTCTGCCCTGAGCAACTGAGCTTTCATGAAATTAGGCAATACAAGGTTATACCTAAAAAACAAACAAACAAACAAACAAACAAACAAAAACAAATGAACGAACAAAAAAATCCACCTTAATTGATGCTTTCCTTGTACCTAAAAATTCTACTCTGTTTCTCTTTTCAACAGAGAAAATACTTTTGTTTGTTTGTTTTGAGATGGAGTCTTGCCCTGTTGCCCAGTTTGAAGTGCAGTGGTACTATCTTGGCTCACTGGAACCTCTGCCTCCTCTTGGGTTCAAGTGATTCTCATGCCTCAGCCTCTAGAGTAGCTGGGAATACAAATGTATACCACCATGCCCGCCTACTGTTCTGTATTGTAATAGAGACAGGATTTTGCTATGTTGGTCAGGCTGGAATTTTTTTCCTGGAACACTGAACAATGACTATTCCAAACCTTCCCCTTACCTCGAAATTCTGATCATTCTCCTTTCTACTCCCCTCTCAGTAGATGAATTACTCACCCTCTAACTTTGTAGAGAATACAGAACTTATTAGATAGGAGCATGCCTGTTTCCCTGAGACCAAGCCTATAAACCAACTTTATCTGTGTCCATCCCATTCTCTCTTTTTAGTTTTATTTATTTATTTACTTAGAAACAGGGTCTTGCTCTGTGGCCCAGGCTAGAGTGCAGTGGTGCAATTATAGTGAACTGCAGCCTTGATCTCCTGGGCCCAAAGGATACCTCTTACCTCAGCCTCAGAAGTAGCTGGGACCACAGGTGAATGCCACCACACCCAGCTAATTTTTATTTATTTATTTATTTATTTTAACGGATGGGGTCTCCCTATGTTGCCCAGGCTGGCCTTGAACGCCTGAGCTCATGTGATCCTACCACCTCAGCTTCCCAAAGTTTTAGGGATTACAGGCATGAGTCACTGCACCTGGCCTCTTTTCAGTTTTAGGTAAGCAGAATTTGCTTCTCCTATCCAAGGCCAATCGAGTTTCTTTTCAAGAACACATGCTGTTACTCTTATAATCCAACTTCTCCCTCCCTGGTAGTTTTTTCTCATTATTATTAAATGCTCTTAATCTGTCTCATTAAAACAAATTAAGAATGTAGCAAAAATCCCTCCACCATTCAGCTCCACTGAGTAAGGTACTCTCTCGTTTTCTTTTCACAATCAGACTTCTCAAAACATTCACCTACACTGTGTTTTCATTTCTCATCTGCCACGCATTTTTCAATAACTTGCGATCTGACTTGCTGTTTATCTATCTCCCTAGTACTATTCTTCTGCAGATCATCATGCCTCCATGTCGTTAAATACTATGGATTTTTCCCAGTTCTCATCTTACCTCACTTCTAATCAATATTCAAACCTCTTGAATACTCCCTTGTAATTAAAATTACGTTTTGCAGAATTCCTTGATAAATACTTTCCAGCTGTTTTTTCTTGCCTCTCTGATAGTCTTTGTCAAATTTGCAAGCTTTTGTCCTTTTCTGCCTAGGCCATTAGATACTGTAGTTTTTAAGACTCAACCTTGAGCTCTCATATCTTCTCACCCAATGTTCTCTCCCTAGGAAATCTCATTTATTTGTTGCTTTAATTACTACTTATATGAAGATGACTCATAAATACTTATTTTTAGTCTAAGCTTCTTTTCTTTGCTACAGACTGCATATCCAAATGCCAACTTGAAATTCCTCTTAAATAACTTACAGAAATATCAAAGTAAACAAATCTGCTGATCATCAAAAACAAATCTGCTGATCTTCCCTGACCCTCTCTTCCCAAGTTTTTCATCACATTAAATGACTCACTATATCCAGTTGTACAAACCAGCAATGTAGGAGTCATCGTTGGTTTCTCTCATACCCTCCCACACCAAGTCTAATCAGTTTTATCTCCTATATATGTCTTTAATCCATCTATACTTTTTCATCTCTTTATTATCATCCCGCTCTAAGCTACTATCGTCTTTTACTGGACTACCCCAATAACACACTCACTGGTTTATTTGTATCTATTCTGGTCCCTCTCCAAGTCCCAGACTAACATAGCCACCCCCCATTTCCTGACTATTCCTGATTAAAACTCTTGAGTGGCTTTCCATTGCATTTGGGAAGAAGGCAGGATTCCCCAACATGGCTTATGAATTCCTGTACAGACTGCTCCATAACTGTTGCTGCCTTCCCTGTCTGGTCATGCACTGCACTCTCTGGACAGGTCCCTGGCTTGGCAATAGCCCACGTGTTTCACCTTGCTCTCTTACCCAGCAAGCATTCTGCATATGCTGGTTCCTCTTCCCAGAATCTTTTCCCTCCACACATTGCCTAAATAATCCCCGCTTATTTTTCAGACCTCAGTGCAAGTATCACCACTTTAGGGGAGTTTTCCATGACCTTTGTGACTGAGTGAAAACACCACCAATGCCATTGCAGAGTTGTATATCATTGTTCCTCCTCAGTATCACATCTTTGGGGGACTTTATTAGATAAATGCCTCTTTTCCCAACTACAGTGTAAGTTGCACAAGGAAAGTGATCATATCTCTAATTTTACCACCAGCAATTAGCCTAGTGTTATAACACTTAGCATAGTTACTGATATTCATTCATTCATTCAACACATATTACTTATATTATACATGGATATGCATAAAAATTAAGTATAAGTGAATATATAAACATGCACACACATATTAATTTACTATTAATATTTACAATAAACCCAGGCAGCAGAGTATCTTGCCCAAGGTTCTATAGCTAATAAATATTAAAGATTCAACCCCAGGTTTCAAAGTCAATGATTTCTAATATATGACATTGTCACATAAAACAAACATAATTTTTATCCCTCTATAGTAGTGGTTCTTAACCCTAGCTTCATGTTGGAATCACCTGAGCTTTAAAAAAAGTTGATGCCCAGTCCTCATTCCCAAAATTTCTATTTTGATTGGTTAGAGGTTGGGCCTGAGTTTGGTTTCATAAAGCTGCCCAGATAAAGAACATTTGCTAGGATGACAGAACTAAACTAAGTGGAGAAGGTGGCCTGAAATAGTGATGAGGATAAAAACAAAATTTTAAAATAGGCAATTAAGATAAGGAGTGAAAGTTGAAGCTGCTGTCCCATGATTTGCTGTTTCATTTCTTTTTAATTGCTGTTGCTGTTGCCTCCTCTTATGTGGTTAATGGCCACCCAAAGTTTTCAGGTCCTATTCCTTGGAACCTTTAAATGTTACTTTACAAAGAAAAAGAGTTACTTGGAACCAACCCAAATGTCCATCAATGATAGACTGGATTAAGAAAATGTGGCACATATACACCATGGAATACCATGCAGCCATAAAAAAGGATGAGTTCATGTCCTTTGTAGGGACACGGATGAAGCTGGAAACCATCATTCTCAGCAAACTATGGCAAGGACAAAAAACCAAACACCGCATGTTCTCACTCATAGGTGGGAATTGAACAATGAGAACACTTGGACACAGGAAGGGGAACATCACACACCAGGGCCTGTCATGGGGTGGGGGGAGGGGGGTGGGATAGCATTAGGAGATGTACCTAATGTAAATGACGAGTTAATGGGTGCAACACACCAACATGGCACATGTAACATATGTAACATATGTAACATATGTAACAAACCTGCTCATTGTGCACATGTACCCTAGAACTTAAAGGATAATAAAAAAAAAAAAGAAAAGAAAGAAAAGAAAGAGTCTTTGAAGATCTAATTAAATTAAGGACCTTGACCTGGGGAGATTCTCCTACAGATAGGCCCTAATCCTTATTACAAGTGTCCTCAAGAGAGACACAGAAAAGATTTGACACAGACAAAAAAAATAAGAAGTCACTATGAAGTTGGATGCAGAGAATAAAGTGATGAGGCCAAAAGCCAATGCATCTTGGCAGCCACCCAAACCCAGGAGAGGTAGAGAATAATCAGATTCTCCCTGAGAGCCTATAGAGGGAAAATGGCCCTGCTGACACCTTGATCTTAGACCAGTGAAACTAGTCTTGGACTTCTGACCTCTAGAACTGTGTGAGAATAAATATCTGTTGTTTGAATCTACCAAGTATGTGGTAATTCATTACAGCAGCCAGGAAGCTATTGAGATGGGATCTGGCTCTATCTCCCAGGCTGGAGTGCGGTTGTGAGATCTCAGGTCACTGCAACCTCCGCCTCCCAGGCTCAAGCTATCTTACCATCTCAGCCTCATGAGTAGCTGGGACTACAGGCACATGCCACCATGCCCAGCTAATTTTTTTTTGTATTTTTGGTGGAGACAGGGTTTTGCCATGTCACCCAGGCTGGTCTCAAACTCCTGAGTTCAAGCAATCCACCCGCCTCAGCCTCCCAAAGTGCTGGGAATACAGGCATGAGCCACCATGCCCAGCCCCTCTTCTGCTCTTCTTAAACTCCTGTCCTCAAAGTCCACTGGGTGTCCCGAGAATGTCTGCAAACTGGCTGCATTGTTTCACAGATGATGTTCCCCATTTCCCCAGCTTTCCTGCCCCATGTTACTATGGCAATGTCTCTGGCTACCAGTCACTCCAACAGTTACCTACACCATCAATGCTGATGTCTATCAGTGTGAATGACGATTTTACTAAATCTGGAACTCATGATCTGGGCTAATGAATGAACCATCACACCGTGATTTCTGAACAATTTCCCTGATTACACTGAAGAATTTATAGTTTCAAAGGGCAGAGTAAATTTGAGATGAAACACATTAACTAGCTTCAGAAATGATATCTACACATATTGAAAAAATGCAATTTCAAAATATGAAGCCATCAGTGCAGATAAAGCTGTTTTACAATAAGAAGCAAAATAAGCATGTTTAGGTTTTAAGATTTTTCTTTTAAAGACTTTATAAAATAAGAGACCCAATAATTGACCAGAGATAAGAAGATGTAGATTTTGTTGTTGTTGTTTACTTTACGTTCTGGGATACATGTGCAGAATGTGCAGGTTTGTTACATAGGTATACATGTGCCATGGTGGTTTGCTGCACCTATCGACCCCGTCATCTAGGTTTTAAGCTTCGCACGCATTAGGTATTTGTCCTAATGCTCTCCATTCCCTTGTCCCCCACCCCCCAACAGGCCCGTGTGTGATATTTCTCTTCCTATGTCCATGTGTTCTCATTGTTCAACTCCCACTTATGAGTGAGAACATGCGGTGTTTGGTTTTCTGTTCCTCTGTTAGTTTGTGAGAATGATGGTTTCCAGCTTAAGAAGATGTAGATTTTTCTAATTCAACTGAAGATGGTACAGAATTTTGATGATAGTGACATTACAGTTGTGGGGAAACTCTAATTCAATATCTTTATATTTGAAAATATGAAACAGTAATTTCTCTAAGAAAACATAGACTTTTATTCCCTTAAATGGTCCACTGCCCCCACAACTATAATGTCACTATCATCAAAATTCTGTAGCACCTTCAGTTGGATTAGAAGAATCTACATCTTACTATCGTTGGTCATTTAATGGATCTCTTATTTTATAGCTCCCCATGGCCACTTGCAATCCCAAAGCA
This sequence comes from Homo sapiens, assembly GCF_000001405.40. Classification (NCBI taxonomy): domain Eukaryota; kingdom Metazoa; phylum Chordata; class Mammalia; order Primates; family Hominidae; genus Homo; species Homo sapiens. The sequence continues at coordinate 53,658,921 of NC_000018.10, forward strand.
AAGGATCATTCAAGTTTTACCTGTCATCACAACTGAGAACCCAGATGTGGAAATGCCAGACATTTCTTATAAGACTTTTAAAATAAATCTTAAGAGCTAAGCATGCTGATTTTGCTTCTTACTGTAAAGCAGCTCTATCTGCTACTGATCGATTACCAGCCGAGTAATCACTCAAAGACCTAAATTTACAGACTAAATCTGACAGGTGTCAGACTCTTTCAATCTCTCTCCATTCTGAAATGATTGATTCCCTGGCTTACAGTATACACACACACATATCCGAGAATCATATCATTAATAATGCTATCATTATGAACATATGTATCTTTAATTTCAATAATTGGCATAAGGCATTTTATCTGTATGTTTAAACCTCAAATCATCATAATTCACAAGAATTAATTTTTACTCATCCTTATAATTAATGAAGTATTCATCAGAATACATTCTTTGCCAAGGTGTATAGTATCTGGCAATATAAATAATTCTTAAATCAATATTCTATAAAAACTGTATCAATATTAAAATAATTGGACAAATACATTGCTTCTAGGTACCTTAACAATCATAGTATATTGTAGACACTGGGCTTGAGAAAAGATTTCAAAGTAATTATTATGACAAAATCTACAAATACAAAATAAATAATAAAATACAAAACCCAGTTATTATTGTCAGTATGAAAGTTAATTTTCCTTGCCTTCTCATGCTTGCTAATAAAAGACATGTTCTGAGAAGATGAGAGTGAAGTGGCCAGTGGGAAAATTTCCCCAACTCCTAAGGAGATATCAGGCTCTGGAAATGTAGGGCTGCCTGGGCAGGAGGCATAGAATGGATGAGAGTCCTACACCTGGCCCAAGATGTGTTAGATATGATCCTTAATGAGGGGAGCATCTAATCACAGTTGAAAGGAGGAAATGTTCTATCTTGAGGGGAATCTTAGGAGACTGAGAATTAAAATTTCTTAAAAAGATAAGTTCTCATATTTTTACTGAAGAAGGCTCAATGTCATCAATACAAATGTAAGAATCACAATGTATGGTTTGCTGACCTGACTTTGATTATAATAATAAGTATATTTATTCTCAAAACTAAATTAGGATTTGTAGAATCCTTTATAAATATGTCATTAATTAGGGCTGTGAATTGTTAATACATCATTTACTAAGTACTTAGGAGGAGTCAACCCAATGGCAAAGAATATTGATTTAAAGATTAGGCATCGAAATGATCTAGCTCAATATTTCTTAGATAAAAATAAAAAAAGTGTCACACTATTTCCATTTTGGTTGTGGAAATATTGAGTCCAAGGAAAGTTATTTATCTTCCCTGGAAGACACCAGAGAACAGAAATAGACTAGAGATTTGACTCTTGTCCTTTGCTCTATATTAAGAAATTTAAGGACCAGACATGATGGCTCATGCCTATAATCCCAACACTTTGGGAAGCTGAGGTGGGAGGGTCACTTAAGGCCAGGGATTCAAAATCGGCCTGGGCAACATAGCAAGACTCATCTCTACAAAAAATATTTAACATCAGCTAGGCACAGTGATGTACATCTGTAGTCCCAGCTATTTGAGAGGGAAGGCAGGAGGATTATTTGAGCGCAGGAATTTGAGGCTGCCATGAGCTATGATCTTATCAATGTATTCCAGCCTGGGTGACACAGCAAGAAACCATTCTTTAAAAAAAATAATTAAAATTAAAAATAAATTAAGGTAAACTTGACATGTTGAAAAAACATCTTTCATGTTTGATTTTCTCCTAGATTTCCTGATTTTTTAAACCGAGTGCCAATAGGCTAATCACTCTTAACTATGATTCTCTAACTCTCTCTTAGCTTCAGAATAATTTACATAGCTAACTCTCTGATTTACATCTCTACCTGAATGTCCTGTAGGGATTTACATCTCTACCTGAATGTCCTGTAGGGAATTCCACCTCGCTGTAATGAAAAATGGAACTTTGCCCCCAAATACATAGATATGTGCACAAATGTTCACAGACACATATACCGTGCAAAACCTTCTTCCCTTCTCATATTAGTAAGACTCAGTAAAATCTATGCAGCAGCTCAAATTAGAAATCTGACAGTGACCTTTGGCTCCTTTTCTCACACTCTCCAACATCCTATTATTTCTCTGGGCTTTCTGATTTTTCCCTTTGAAATCAGGTCAGGTAACTACATGAAAAGCACCTGTATCTCCCTATTAGGCCTATGCAGACATGATTAACAAATCACAATACGCTTTTCTGCTAATATTAAACTTACCACTACTAATTCCTCCAAAAAGCACTCTTCGTAGATACCACCAGGCAGGTGATTGGAGTTGACACTCAAGAGTAATTTGCCTTCCCAGTCCTAGATATTTCAAGTTCTTCCTCTCAGTCAAGACTTTCTTACTTCTGAATATCACTATTTCCTTTCTGAACTATTTGAGTGACCTTGTGGGGGTCTCCCTGCCTTCAGTCTTGACCCTGTCCAATTTACCCTCAGTACCCCCTGACAGACGGATCTGTCCAAAAATGCAAATGTGATTGTGCCAATTTCATCTTAAAACTCATTAAAGTCTTTACTACAATTTACAAAGTTCTCAATATCCTGAATGTTGTCTACCTTTCCCCTCTCATTCTTACCACCGCTTGCCTCCTATCTCATGCTCTAGTGAGACCAAACTATGTGCAATATGATGAATTTTTCATGAGGCTTTCACCATCATGCATTTGTCCATGTTCTCTCCATTGCCAGGGACATCCTTTCCCTTCCTCATGCTACCTGCTTCTTTCATATAGTTAAGATAATTGTCCCCTCCAAATCTCACGTTGAAACATGATCCTCAAGGTTGGAAGTGGAGCCTGATGAGAGGTGTTTGGGTCATGAGGGCAGATCCTTGATGAATGGCTTTGATGTCCTCTCCATGGTAATGAGTGAGTTCTCTGTTAATACACGTGTGAGCCAGTTGTTTAAAAAAGCCTGGTATATCAGTTTTCTCCCTTTCTCACCATGTAACACTCCTGTTTCCCCATCACTATCCACTATGATTGGATGCTTCCTGAGACCCTCACCAGAAGCAATGCCGGTGCCATGCTTCTTGTATAGCACACAGAACCATGAGCCAAATAAACTTCTTTTCTTTATAAATTACCCAGTCTCAAGTATGGCAATGCAAAACAGATGATATGGTTTGGCTCTGTGTCCCCACCCAAATCTCATCTTGAATTGTAATCCCCATCTGTGGAGTGAGGGAAGTGATTGGATTATGGGGACAGTTTCCCTGTATCAGTCTGTTTTTACACTGCTAATAAAGACACGCCCAAGACTGGGTAATTTACAAAAGAAAAAGGTTTAATTGGACTTACAGTTCCATGCAGCTGGGGAAGCCTCACAATCATGGCAGAAGGCAAGGAGGAGCAAGTCACATCTTACATGGATGACAGCAGGCAAAGAGAGAGAACTTGTGTAGGGGAACTCCTCTTTTTAAAACCACCAGATTTCATGAGACTTATTTACTATCATGAGAACAGCACAGGAAAGACTTGCCCCCATGATTCAGTTACCTCCCACCGGGACCCTCCCACAACATGTGGGAATTCAGGATGAGATTTGGGTGGGGACACAGCCAAAGCATAACATTTCTCCCACGCTGTTTTCAGGATGGTAAGTGAATTCGCATCTATAAGTGGCAGTTTTTCCTGTGCTCACACATGCTCTCTCTTGCCCACTGCCATGTAAGATGTGCCTGCTTCCCCTTCCACCATGATTGTAAGTTTCCTGATGCCTCCCCAGCCATATGGAAGTGCAAGTGAATTAAACATCTTTTCTTTATAAATTACCCAGACTTGAGTATGTCTTTATAGCCATGTAAGAACAGACTAACACAACAAACACACTCTTTCTTGACCTTTAAGTCTCTCCTACAGTATTGATTTCTCATAGAATCATTCTCAGATCTACTACAACACCCTTAATTCCACACTGTTGGATAGGTAGCCATTCCCATTCTCTAATTGTACCCATCCATGCTGCTATTATGGCAACAAAAATAAATACCTTCCTCTGGTTATTTATTTTCATGGTAATATCTCCCTGACTATTCCATAAGCATAGAGACTAGTATGTGTGGACTTTTGAGTCCCTAAATCTTTGTACAGAGTCTACTTAGCAAGAACCCAATAAATGTTTGTGAAAGTGCCCTAAATTGGAATTATGGTAAGTATTCCAATATTAAACTTCCTATGTATTACAGAAGTTGCCAATCCATGTGTATCATTTGCTAATAATTCTTTTATAACCATAGAGATAATTGTTATTTTTCTATTTTACTTTAAGCAGAGTTATCATAGTGGAAGCTCAGGCTGTGATATTTAAAACTCTATCAGGAAGAGTAGACAGTAAGTACCACATGGTGATCAAGTATTCCAGTCTGCTAGGGCTGCCATAACAAAATACCACAGACTGGGTGGCTTAAACAACAGATATTTATCCTCTCACAATTCTGGAGACTAGAAATTCAAGATAAATGGGTCAGCAGATTTGTTTCTTCTGAAGACTCTCTCCTTGGCTTATAGATGACCATCTTCTCACTGTGATCTCACATGGTTGCCTCTCAGTCTGCCTGTGTGTGTGTGGCTGCACACATGTGTCTTAATCTCCTCTTCTTATAAAGACACCTGTCATATTGAATTAGAGTTCACCCAGATGATCTCATTTTAGCTTAATCATTTTGATAAAGACCCTATCTCAGGCATAGGCTGAAGAATTGGGGGTTAAGGTTCAGCCTACAACACAAGGAATATATGACAGGGATTTTCTTTCATCATATAGTTCCTATAAGTAAAAATATGATGAGACTACATATGGTAAATGCCTCAAATTAATTTTATTACTACCATATTATCTATAAATCAAAAAGGTGAAATGCTTTTAGATGACCACAAGTACATTTATGAGAGCAGCACTCTGACTGAGGGTTGGATGCTAAAACACATTATGAACTCCTGCTTATGTTTCCTGAATGTAAACTTCTGGATGTGCTCATCAATATTTTTGGGTTGGGGAAAATTATCTGATGACTATATACACAATTCTAAAACATACAGCCAGTTATTTTCTGTTATTACTTCATATAAACAGTTATTTTACTGAATTAAGTGACTTTGAATTGCTGTAACCAGCCAAGTCAGACAAATTGGCCAAGCTCACTTGTAAGTGAATTATTTGGATCTCAACATGGGACAAAAGAATGAATAGAAAACTTCAATAAACCAAATGCTCCAATAGGTTAGGCAGTTTGTATTTCTAAGCTCAAATAACCATGAAAAACTGCTGCTTGAATTTAGTGATTAAATTTTTAAAGATTTGAAAAATTTAAACCAGCCAGTTATATTCAGAATCATTTTTTAAGATGAACTTTCAGAAATTAGACCAAATCCCAGTGTTGTTGTTGCTGTTATTATGTAGAATACAAACTTGTTCATTTTAGGAAATTAGAAAATTACAATAAAGAAAAGAAGAAAAATTAAGCTCATACCTCCCTTAACCCCATGGAACATTTCTGGGCAACAACAGAGGGGCTAGAATCTAAGTTAGAGACTCTTCAGAGAAGATGGTTTGTAGCATATGTGTGTGTGGGTGGGGTATGTGTGTTTAATGTTAATATTAAATGATATTCAAAATATATCAAGTTAAAAGCAATATGTACCCACTCCTAGGTATTTACCCAAGTCAAATAATAACTGTTTTCCACTAAAACCTGTCTGAAATACTTATAATGACTTTATTCTTAATCATCAAGAAGTAGAAACAACCCAGTTGTCTATCAACTGGGAAATGGGTAAACAAACTGTGGTACATCCATACAATGGAATACTATTTAGCAATGAAAAGAAACAAACTACCAGTACATGCAACAGCACAGGTGAATCTCAAATGCATATTTCTAAGTGAAAAAAAGCCAGACTGAAAAGGCTACATACTGCATGATTCCATTTATATGACATTTTGAGAAAGGCAGTTAGAGAGAGGAAAACATATTAGTTAGAGCCAGAAAAGTAGAGGGAGGATTTGACTACAAGAGATATCATGGGAGAGTATTTTCAGGGAGAGGGATGATAGAACTGTTTTGTATTTTAGTTGTGTCGTTCTGCAACTCTATGCATTTATCAAAACTCATAGAACTGTCTAACAGAAAGTGAATTTCATCATGTGTAAATTAAAAATAAGTTTTAAAAACACATTATGAAGTTATTCATAATTATTCTTCATAATTCATAATTATTCTTCCCTTTGTGTTTTGTTTTTAAATGTACGTATAATACCTATAATATGTATTGTTAAATGTGTACATGCATAAAAACTCTTTCTGGTGGTATATAAAAAGGCACTTAGAGTGTTGGCCCCAAGGAAGGAGAGTAGAGGTTCCAAAATAGAAGGAAGACTTGATTTTTCATTGTATGTATAGTTATATTGCTTGAATTGTTTATGATGTTAGTATAGTGCTTTCCAGTTAAAAATATACTAAACTAAAATAATATATAAACGTTATGAGGCTGCAATTTTAGAACCTACTTAGGTATATTTTCCTTTTTGACCAAACTAAATATTCTGTTTTCCTTGAATCTGAGCACAATTAGGTTATGGAAATGTTCTGAAAGTTACTTGACGACAGAAGCAGCCTGAACACTGGGGTTGCAATCTTTCCCTGTTCTCTAAGGGATTCTCACAATTACTCCCTGTGGACAGCCAAAGCCAAAAATCAATGAAGGTAGAATCAGCAGGTTGTTCCATGGTAGAAATGGCCTCAATTTCATCAATAGCAGTCAGCATAGACTTCGGAAGTAAAAAAGACTCAGAAAAAATATAGGAGCTTAATACCCAGGATACCCAATCTGGTAGCTAGCTGAAATTGCATATACACAAGGCCTTTAATTACATTTTCCATTTAAACTGCCAGTGAAATACATTTGAGAGGAGGAATTAACTTGTCATTAAGAACGCTTTAAGCAGCCCGCTGTGCAACAGGGCTGTGCTAAGTCTCAAATGACTGGACAGAGTAATCACTTTCTCCTTCAAGTTATGCAAAAAGCTAGAAAACAAAGTGCCTCACCAATGACGCATTTCAGACATCCAAGCTACCCAAGGCAAGAGTCTTTATCATGTTAAAAAGAAGATACTAGAATAGCACATTAATAAAAAAAACCCATACTGATATTTTTTAGAAAATCTGTATGTCTGTATGTATATCTGTATGAAACAGTATGTGTCTCTAGATTGATTACACCTTCTAGATTGACTGTCTATAAAATACTTCAGAGGGAAATTTCTATCTAATTTCACCTGTCTTTTCATAAAGGGAGACTGTATTTGTAGAATCAAAAAACAGCTGATAAATCCAGTGTGGAAAGGGTGCTATTTTTGTGCAAGGTCACACCTGCACACTATTCCAGAAACTGTCTAAAAAACATTTTTTGCTATTTTTGTTTGCCTGCTTTAAACTTTTATTGGGAACTTTAATTCTCACACAGAAAAGTATATGAAATATGGACTATACATGATCAGGCTCACATAATTTTAATGCTATAAATCATTTATCATATATATTATGTGCCAAAAATATTTTTGCCCACTTCTTCATTTGCCTTTTCATTTTTCAAATGATGCCTTTTAAAGAGCACAAATGTTGATTTCCATCAAAAGGAATACATTACTTTTTTGTTTAGTGCATTTTTAATCAAATCTAAGAAAATATCTGCCTACTTCAAATTTACCAAGACATTCTGCTACATTTTCATCTAGGATCATCATAATTTTCAATTTTACGTTGACTTCTAAAATCCATCTCCAACTAACATTTGTGGAAGGTGTAAGGGAAGAGTTGAGATTTGTTTGTTTTTTTTTTTTTAGATGCATCCAGGTGCCTCAGTACCTCTTATTAAGCAGAATTGCCATTCCCCCACTGAATTGCCTTGGTGCCTTTTTGCTTTTTAAAAATCAACTTACATGAATTTATGAATTTACTTCTGGACTCTCTATTCTATGTATTGGCTTATTCACTTATTCTTATGTTAAAATATCCCAGTTTAGATTCCTAAAGCATTATGATGGGTTTTGAAATCATATTATGTAAGTCCTGCAAATTGCTAGGTCTAATTATGGCAATTGTTTATTACATTTCTAAGAAGCTGTCAAACAGATATTAGGCATTTATAAGAATGGATAAAGTAAAAAATAGTGACAGCCCCAAATGCTGATGAGAATGCAGAGAAACGATCACTTGTACATTGGTGGCAGGAAGTAAAACGATATTTCTTTTTTAATCCATTGATATAGTGAATTTCACTGATTATGCTGCCATAAAAAATGATGAGTTCATGTTCTTTGTAGGGACATGGATAAAATTGGAAATCATCATTCTCAGTCAACTATTGCAAGGACAAAAAACCAAACACCGCATGTTCTCACTCATAGGTGGGAATTGAACAATGAGAACACATGGACACAGGAAAGGGAACATCACACTCTGGGGACTGTTGTGGGGTGGGGGGAGGGGGGAGGGATAGCATTAGGAGATATACCTAATGCTAAATGACGAGTTAATGGGTGCAGCACACCAGCATGGCACATGTATACATATGTAACTAACCTGCACATTGTGCACATGTACCCTAAAACTTAAAGTATAATCATAATAAAATAAAATAAAATAAAATAAAATAAAATAAAATGGTAAATCCACTATGCATTCTTAGTTTTAATATACAACCCTCTCAATATGTTTCTACAGTTAATTCACTAATATTTTTCAGGAATTTTGGTACAAATGTTCATGAGGAATACTGGTGTATAATTTTTATTCTAGATCTTATCAAGTTTTGGTAACAGGATGATGACATCTTCATAAAACAAGAAGTTTTTCCCCCATCTATTTCCTTAAAAATAATTGTCTAAGATTTGCATTTTTCATGGTTTATAATTTGCACTTAAATTCTTTGGGCCAGAAATTTTTTCTGTGAGTTTTTTAAAATAACAAGTTTAATTTATTTAATAAATATAAAGCCATTTATATTTTCTACTTTATCTTATATAAAATTAGACAGTTGTATTTTTTCTAGTCATCTGTTAGAGTTTTATCTAAAAGCAACAAAATACATGCCATGGAATACTATGCAGCCATAAAAAGGAATGAGATCATGTGCCTTTTCAGAGACGTGATGGAGCTGGAGATAATTATCCTTAGCAAACTTATGCAGGAACACAAAACCAAATGTCACACGTTCTCACTTACAAGTGGGAGCTACACAAAACCAAATGTCACACATTCTCACTTACAAGTGGGAGCTAAATGATGAGAACCCATGGACACATAGTGGGGAACCACATGCACTGGGGCCTGCTGGAGCGTAGGGGATAAGGTCGGGGAGTGGATCAGGAAGACTAGCTAATGGATGCTAGGACTAATACCTGGGTGATAAGGTGATCTGTGAAGCAAACCACCATGGCACACATTTACCCGTTTAACAAACCTGCACATCCTGCACATGTACCCTTGAACTTCAAAGTTGGAAATTAAAAACAAAAAAAATTAAATAATTCAAAAAAAACGTAAACCAAAAAAAAAGTTCTAATATCCTCTTATAATCTTTTTAATGTTCTGGTATTTGTATTGATATCCTTCTTTGCAATTCTGCAACTATGTGTTATTTTTTGTTTTTTTTTTCCTCATTAATCACACCAGAGGAATATACACTTTACTGCCTTTTTCAAAATCAAATTTTTCCTTTGTCACTTCTCCGCATTGTATACTTATTCTTCACTTACTGTTCTTTTCTTCTACTTTCTTTAGTTTTCTTTGTATATGAATATACACTTTCACCTAAGCCCTGCTCTCCTGCCTCTCACAAGTTTTATTATGTTGTGATTTGCCACAGAATCTGTAGTATCACTTCTGTTTTCATCCCTGAGATTATTTGTATCTTTTCTCTCTTCTTTTTCTTAATTTTACCAGAAGTGAATCAATTTTCTTAGCCTTTTCAAGAAATTAAATTTTGGTATTTTTGATCTTCTCTATCTTACGCCTCTTTACCTTTGTACTTACATTTATTTCCTTCCTTCTACTTTCTTTGTACTCAGTTTATTTACATATAAATAAAACTTCCTCCAATAATTGTTTTTAGCTGTATTTCACAAGTTTTGATGTTGTATGTTTTTAATATTTTCATTTTTTTCTTTGACCCAAAGCTTATTTATGAGTATACTTTTTATTTCTAAGAACATATTAATACATGTAATATGTATGTATCTATTACATTATATTTATCTCGATGAATGGATGGATAGATAGATCTGAATTCATCCCTCTGATCGAATATATACTCTCCTGTGTAAGTTCATGGCCAATTTTAATAAATATTCTGTGCATGAATGAAAAAAAAGTGCACTCAGCAGTTGTTGGGTAGGATGTTCCATTTGGTTGATTTTAAGCTTACTCTTCCATATCTTCCAAATCTTCCGTATCTTTCTATTAGAGATAAGGGTGTTTAAAACCTCTCATTATAATTATTTTACTTCTACCATTTTTGCCTTATATATATTCACTTAAGAATATGTTATTAAATATATACAAATATAGAATTGTATTTTCCTGGTAACTTAAATGCTCAAGCCTATAATCCCAGCACTTTGGGAGGCTGAGGCAAGTGGATCACGTGAGGTCAAGAGTTCAAGACCAGCTTGGCCAACATGATGAAACCTTGTCTCTACTAAAAATACAAAAAAAAATTAGCTGGGTGTGGTGGCATTCGCCTATTGTCCCAGCTATTCCGGGAGGCTGAGGCAGGAGAATCACTTGAACCCAGGAGGCAGAGGTTGCAATGAGCCAAGATCACACCACTGCACTCCAGCTTAAGCGACAGAGGGAGACTCCATCTCAAAAAAAAAAAAAAAAAAGAATGCTTTATTATTAAGTGATCTTCCTTATCTTATCGAAAATTGTTACCTAAAACATCTGTTTTTTCCAATGTTAATACTGCTGCTTTTTCTCCTCTTCCTGTTCTCTTTCTTTTCTTTCTTCCTCTCATTCTTCTGGCTTCTGTCCTTCATTCTCTCGTTCTTTTACTTCTGTCCCTCCTTTTTCTTCTTTTCCTCTCCCTCCTTTTTGTCCTTTTTCTTTTGAAGTACTTATGTCTGATATCATTTTCAGTATGTTTACTTTCCATTTTTCTAAACTTATTTTTGTTATATCTCTAGTAAATGGGTTATAGTTAAGTTTGTAAATAAAATCTTATCTGACAATCTTTGTCTTTTAACTTCAGCATTTAGTTCATTTACATCAATGTAGTATTGAAGTATAAATTCTGTGTATATACACATACGTATATATACACACAGATACACATGCCACATTTCAATATGATTTCTAATTGTCTAGTTTATGTTTTTCTTTTTTGCCTTTAGAGAGGGTTAAATTTTAAAAAATTGATTTATCCTCCTGATGCTTCAGAAATTTAATTTGCTTGATGACTATTTTAGTAGTTACCTTAGATTACAATTTTCATTTTTAACTTATTAAATTCTAGAGTTATATGTGCCCTCCTCCCAGAAAATGCAGTGAACTTTGACTACATCAATCCAAGTTATCCCACTCTCAACTTACATGCTACTGTCTTCTTACACTTTAGTTTTCTATATATTTTAAAGCCCTTAATTTGTTATCATTGTTTTTCACTGTCAATGTTTAATATTTAATTAGATTGATACACATATGTGCAGTTTCTATGGTTCTTTCTCCATTTCCTTGTGAGAGCTTTCACTTGGAATGAGGAACTTCCACTTGGAATTTCTGTCCACAGAGTATCTCTAACTATGTTTTTAGTACAACAATACTCATGGTTTTCATCTTTTTCTTCTTTTTCCTTTTTTTTGATTCCAAAATATTTTATTCCACTTTTGAAAGATATCTTTGCTGGGTGGATAATTCCACTTTGTTTTTCATAATTTCTGTTGTGATTGCTGCTGCCAGTCCAACTTTAGTTGCTTTGTAGGACATCTGTTATGTTCATACAGCCACTTTTAAGATTTTCTCTTTTTTCTTTGGGTTTCTGCAGTTTCATGATTATATATTTACAAGTAGGTTTATTTTCACTTATGCTATTTATAATTATTTGGATTCTTTGAATTTGTAAATTGACAGTACTAGATTTGAAAAAAAAAATTGTCATTATCTTCCCAAATGTTTTTCCTCTGATTTTCATCTTCCTTAAAAATTCCAATTAAATATATATTTATCCTTCTTCTATATCAATTCTCTCTTTGAGATAATTTCTTGTACCTATCTTTCATTTCACTGATTCTCAGTTTGGCTACGTCTACTTTGCTATTGAACCTCTCCATTGAATTTTTCATTGGAGATATTGAATTTTCCTGTTCCAGAATTTCTAGTTGAGAAAAAAAAAAAAAAACCTGCCATGTCACATTTTACAGTTTCCAGTTCCTTGCCAAAAGTTTTAGGTTTGATTCTTTTATTTATGTACATAAAAAGCCTAGTTCTTTCCTAGTTTGAATCTGATAATATATACATATATTACCTGATTTCTATCTGTTTCTAACATCTGTAACTTGTGCTAGTTGTTGTGTATGTTGCTCTATCACCTTACATCCTTACATGCCTGATAACCTTTGATTCCATGCTAAACATTGACTTTGGAAACTTATTTGTTGTTGGGAGCAGGCCCCCCAGAATCTGGCCATAAACTGGCCCCAAAACTGGCCATAAACAAAATCTCTGCAGCACTGTAATATGTTCATAATGGCCCTAATGCCCATGCTGGAAGGTTGTGGGCTTACGGGAATGAGGGCAAGGAACACCTGGCCCACCCAGGGCGGAAAACTGCTTAAAGGCATTCTTAAGCCACAAACAATAGCATGAGCAATCTGTGCCTTAAGGACATGCTCCTGCTGCAGTTAACTAGCCCAATCTATTCCTTTAATTTGGCCCATCCCTTCGTTTCCCATAAGGGATACTTTTAGTTAATTTAATATCTATAGAAACAATGCTAACGACTGGTTTGCTGTTAATAAATATGTGGGTAAATCTCTGTTCAGGGCTCTCAGCTCTGAAGGCTGTGAGACCCCTGATTTCCCACTTCACACCTCTATATTTCTGTGTATGTGTCTTTAATTCCTCTAGCACAGCTGGGTTAGGGTCTGCCCAAGCTGGTCCCGGCAATTTGTAGACATAATGTAATGCCTAAGATAAAAGGATCTATCAAGGGGATTTCTATTTACTGTTTCCACGTAATCAGGTATACTCTCAATGTAGAGGGATCACCTTAATACAATTTTATTATAATTTTAATACAATTGAAATTCATTTGGTTCACCCAGCATTGAATTGGCTTATTTCTAGTACTTACTTATTCCTAATATGCTTTCTGTAAGCATTTTAAGCTAAAACACATAGGGTGGTTTACAAGAATTGTCACCCTTGATAAGCTCTGAAACACAGCCTTTGTTCCCCCAGCTTTTTTCATGCTGACAAAAGTTCAGCTCAGGCTTTCAACCACTTTATTCCAATTATCAAAAAATCCTAGCAAAAAAACTGCTCTTAATGCTGGACAGTCTTCTTCGGAATTCTCTTGAGACTTTAGGCTAGTTATTCCTCAGCATGTTGTTAGTGCTTTGCTAATTTTAAGCAGAGTTTTTTTCTTACTTCCTCCAGCTTTTTTAGGTGTCCAAATTATCTAGTTAATCATTTGTAGAAGCAGAAATCCTGGAACTTCATTTTTAACTAGAAGCTGGTTGATGATGCCCTACACTAATGAAATTAAAGGTCTAACTCAAACAGTAAAATATACTTATCTACACATATTTTATGCAATTCATTCAATAACAAACAATACATCAGATTCATTACCTTAAGTTTAGCCTATAGCTTTCTCCTTATTCTCCTGAATTTGTTATGCAGCCATTTGTTTCAAAATAATTTAATATCACCAAGGAAATACAGAGGGAAGAACACAAGAAGGTATAAAGTTATATACTTATTATGGTAACATATTGCTAACAAACTCATAAGCTTGAGGTTTGGGAGAGCCAGTGGTATAGCTCCAGTCCAAACCTGAAGGCCTGAGAACAGAGGAGAAAATGGTGTGTCAGCTCAAGTCTGAAGGCCTGAGACTTAGGAGCCTTGATATCCAAGGACAAGAAAAGATGAATATCCCAACTCAATCAAAGAAAGCAAATTCACCATTCCTTCACCTTTTTCTTCTATTAAGGTCCTTCAGCCATTGAATAGTGCCCACCTGCATTGGTGAGGGATATCTTTTCTCAGTCTACTGATTCCAATGCTGCTATCTTTCAGAAACACCCTCACAGACACACCCAGCAAAAATATTTCCATTCTGGGCATCCCTTAGCCCAGTCAAGTTGACATATGAAATTAACTATTACACAAGGGCACCCTAATAAGGATTGGGGAAATAGACCACCTCTTGATTAAAAGAACTGCAAAATCACACTGCAAATGATATGGATAAAGGGAGGGATAAAAAACTTTAGGACATTTTTGCAATTTGTCTATCATATACTCAAGTTTCTGGGACCTGCAATGCAACCCAGAAGAAGGGGGTCAAGTGGGTTTTATTTTCAATTATTTTACATGATTCTTTCTCCTTTAATCTTATTTAATTATATATTTATTATCTCTATAATTAAGTATATTATTAACAGAGGAGATTATGGGGAAGAGAATAGACCAAGGAGGATGGAGATGTATAGAGTCTCAAACCTATCTTTTTTCAGAAAATAAACTCTAGGAATGATTGTCTCTCTTTCGTGGTACATAATATTTAATTTGGAATTCTTCAATTAGTGAGAGATATTTAGCGCCACTTTGGGTTTAGCCTGGGCTAGCTGCTGTGTTTCCTAGGGACCATAGCAAAAACTCACATTTATATATAAAGTATATTATGTCCCAGAATATGAAAATTCTCAGAACTTCTGTTTAAGGATAAGAATAAAAGGATTGGTCAGAATTGCCACTCTTAAAGTGTCCTTGAGGGACTTTTGCCTTTGTGGTGACATAATCTTCAGAAGACCA
This sequence comes from Homo sapiens, assembly GCF_000001405.40. Lineage (NCBI taxonomy): Eukaryota > Metazoa > Chordata > Mammalia > Primates > Hominidae > Homo > Homo sapiens. The sequence continues at coordinate 53,674,017 of NC_000018.10, forward strand.
CTATCTCTAAATGTCTAATTGCTTGTAAATGACTGATTATGGCTCAGGCATTCAGGGATTTATCTAAACCCTTCTTTAGTCCATTTAACCTTCCAGCCTGCACAATCTTTTAGGAGCATCAAGTTTCATATGTGTTTGGAGAGTTCCCAACCCTTCAAATGTAATTCTGCTCCCTTGAGTACAATAGAAAAGCACTTGGTACTTGTGGATTTCAAATCCCTTTACAGAAAAGACCACAGTCCCATAGCTTCTGTTAGACACATGAAAAAACAACAACAAAAAAAACAACAAAAAAATCAAAATAAAACTATGTCTGTCTCTGTCTACTAGCTTTGCTATTTTGTAAGATGAATTAAGATAATTTTCTCCTTAAAATCCTTTGCTAACTTCATTTGTTTATCCATATTCTAATAAAGTTGGTAAAACTTTATTTATTCAGGTTATAAAAAAGCAAAATTGTCCAGCATTTGGATTTTCTCTGTGTTCCCTCAGCCCTGGTACATGAAATAATACAGCAAGTTACCATTTTATAATTGTATTATTATTCTTCTTTTAAGTCATTTTCCGTTTTTCTCCTATTGGAAATGTGCAAGAAAAAAAAATCTCATAACTTCCTTACTTCCTGTGGGAGTTAATGGCTGCTAAGGATAATAGCCACGCAGAATACTGTAAGGAATAATAATTTTCCTACAGCTTCCAGGATGAAAACTTAATTTGATACTCAGTAATTTGAACTACAGAGTTTAAATGATAAAAATTAAATAAAAATAAAAACTTCAACAGGCGACTAAGGTGATTGAGAATGTTTCATGAGTGTAATTTGAAAAGTGATTATTCACCAAGAAAGTGGAATGAGCAAATAAAAATTATTGAGAAGAAACTAACCCATGGTAGGATTAAAACATTCTATTTACTAACAAAATTAAGTATAAACTTATACACTATACATATATACACCTAAGGTATAGACACATACTTACGTGCCTGTGTGTTTTATGCCTTTATATCTTTATATAGAGAGAGGGAGAGAAAGAGAGAGATCTGAAACTACAAAAAAGTAAACTGGTAATGAGAGTATTAACTCAAATCCATCTTCAGACATGTTCAACAAAGTACCTGTCCCAGATTTTCCAAAGATTTTTTTTTTTTTTTGGTTATACATCATTCACCTTTTGCATTAAGTGTGTCAACTCTCCCATCTCTTGCTATTCTGCATCCTAACATTTACTTTCCTGCATTAGAGTATGTGGTCAAATTGTGAAGATATCCATCCTAAATTTTTGTATCAGAAACTGTTCAAAGCTCCTATTTATAGCATCCTTCAAATATTTTTCTAAAGTTCTAGTTATTGATTTCCTAATTTGCCTCTGAAGTTAGAAATCCCTCCAATGAGGAAATTTAAAGAAACTCACTCTCCTCCAATGTGGACCTTAATTCTAAAAATGCCTCTTATATATATCTACCATTGTATAATTAGGTTGATGCCCTTCACCTTGCAGTCAAATCTTCTTGTTTTATTGTTGTTGTTTTCAGCTTTTATTTTGGATTCAGAGGGCACATGTGCAGGTTTGTTACATGAATATGTTGTGGGATGCTGAGGTTTGGGGTATGGGTGATCCCATCATCCAAGTAGTGAGCATAGCACCCAATAAGGGGTTTTTCAACCCCTATTTTTTTAGCCCCTATCCTCAGTGTCTACTTTCCCCATATTTACATTCACTTGTATTCAATGTTTAGCTCCTACTTATAAGTAAAAACATGATATATTTGATTTTCTGTTCTTGTGGGTTAAATTGCTTAGGATAATGGCCTCCAGTTCCATCCATGTTGCTGTAAAAGGTACATTTTTGTTCTTTTTTATGGCTGTATAGTAGTCCATGGCATATGTATGCCACCAATGGTATGTGTATCATTTTCTTTATTCAATCTACTCACTGCTGATGGACACCTAGGTTGATTCCTTGTTTTTGCTATTGTGAATAGTGCTGCAATGAATGTATAAGTTCCTGTGTCTTTTAGATAGAATAAATTATTTTCATTAGTAGCAGGATTCCTGGTCGAATGGGAGTTCTATTTTAAGTTCTTTTAGAAAACTCTAAGCTGGCTGAACTGATTTGCATTCCCAACAACAGCATATAAGCATCCCCTTTTCCCCACAGCCTTGCCCATATCTATTGTTTTCTTGGCTGCTTATTATTTGCCATTTTGACTGGTGTGAGATGGTATCTTATTATTGTTTTGATTTGTACTTCTGTAATGATTAGTGATGTTGAGCATTTTTCACGTTTGTTGGTCACTTGTAAATCTTTTGAGAAGCGTCTGTTCATATTCTTTGCCTATTTTTTAATTACATTTTTTTTTCGCTGGTTGATTTAAGTTCGTTATAGATCCTTGATATTAGACCTTTGTCAGATGCATAGTTTGCTAATATTTTCTCCCATTCTGTAGGCTGTCTTTTTACTTGGTTGGTAATTTATTTTGCTATGCAGAAGCTCTTCAGTTTAATTAGGTTCCACTTGTCAAATTTTTTATTGCAATTGCTTTTGGGGACTTAGCCATGTATTTTTTTTTTTTTTTTTTTTTTTTTTTTTTGCCAAAGTCAAAGTCAATGTCGAGAAGGATACTTCCTAGGTATTCTTCTAAGACTTCTATAGTTTGAGATCTTATATTTAAATTGTTAGTCCATCATGAGTTAATTTTTTTAATGGTGAAAGGTAGGGGTCCAGTTTCATTCTTTTGTATATCACTAGCCAGTTATCCCAGAACCATTTATTGAATGAGGAATTCTTTCCTATTGCTTATTTTTGTTGGCTGTCAAAGATCATTTGGTTGTAGGTATGCAGCTTCATTTCTGGGTTCTCTATTCTGTTCTTTTCGTCTATAAGTCTGTTTTTGTACCAGTAGCAATGCTGTTTTGGTTTCTGTAGCCTTATGCTATAGTTTGAAGATGGGTAATGTCATGCCTCTGGCATTCTTCTTTGTGCTTAGGATTGCTCTGGCTATTCTGGCTCTTTTTTGGTTCCATATGAATTTTAGAACAGTTTTTCCTAATCTGTGAAAAGTGGCCTTTGTATTTCGAAACATCATTGAATTAAAAGGCACTGAATCTATAAATTGCTTTAGGCAGTATGGCCATTTTAATGATATTGATTCTTCTAATCCATGAGCATGGAATATTTTTCCATTTATTTGTGTCATCTCCGATTTCTTTCAGCATGTTTTATAGTTCTCCTTGTAGAGATCTTTCACCTCTTTGTTTAGCTGCATTTCTAGGTACTTCATTTTTTAGTGTGGCTATTTTAAATGGAATTATGTTCTTAATTTGGCTTTCAGCAAGAACATTATTGGTATATACAATTAATACTGATATAAGTACATTGACTTTGTATCCTGAAATTTTACTGAAGTTATTTATCAAGTTTAGGAGCCCTTTGGCAAAGTCTTTATAGTTTTCTAGGCATAGAATCATATTGTCAGTGAAGAGAGATTATTTGACCTCTTCTTTATATATTTGGATGTTCTTTATTTTTCTCTCACGCCTGATTATTCTGACTAGCACTTCCTATTATATTTTAATTCCCTACCCAATCCCATATCTGGCCAATTTAGACAGCCATCAAATAGCTCTCTTGGTTTCACTTCCTATTTCTAAATGCCAAGCAAACACAGGTGAAGAAACCAGTACATAACATTGGGCTCCATTTTAAGTTGCCACTGTTGCCACCAAAAGTAGTCTCCCAAAGCTTTGAGGATATTCTGCCTAAATCAGATCCCTATGCCAGGCCTGGTGAGTTTTTGCTTATTTTTGTTTTTGAGGAAAATGACCACATTGTTTTTAGTATTATATTCAGTTGAGAAAGTACTTTACTTGGGTTCCCAAAAATTTAGTCCTTAATAAGAATTCACAATTAATTTGCATTTATATATATGTACATACACACATATATAAACACACACATTTATATACAAACATGCATATATAATATGCATACAGACATGTATATGTTATATACATAAATACATATTGCATGCATACATGTTAGATACATAAATACATATGTATTATATACATGCAATCATATATATGTATATATAATTTATAACTTATTCATTATGCTCAAATACTGGCTGAAAATTCAAAGCATCTGGATCAGAAAGAGACCTCTTGCTTTTAACAAATGCTGTGCCTAAATAAATCTTCCCTTCATGACATAAGCGGTCATGAATCCAAGTCACTAATTAGGATTTTCATTTCTTAAAAGGTGAATTCCTCTTTCAGTTTCCATGAAGGTCTTATTTGGAGCCATCTTAATCTAGCACAGAAATTTATTATAATAACAGTGAACCTCAAAAGGAAACTCGCTGGGATCTTGATCCAGAAGGATCCTCACCCTTTGCACAGATGTATCCACTTATTCCCCAGGCCTGTTTCTTGTATGCCAAGGAATACTGAGGAAACAGTCTTCGTCAAATCACAAAAAGATGCGGTTACATATACCCCCTGAAGCAATGGGTACCTACTCACCTTAAAATTATTTTTAAGAGGAAAAGCGCAATTGATTCTTCCCATAACAGCACAAATCTGCTCTCAGGCGGTTTACTGTCTGCAGCTTTAGACAGAGAAGTCTAGAGAATTTTAAATTCTGCCTCACTGATCAACATTCAGTGGGGGCCGTGGCACTGCCTTCCAACCATTTTCCACTTATAACACACATGAAAAAGGAAAAGATTATATCTGTGTGCCACACTGGGATGAACTTGAATGAATCTGAAAGTGTCTATACAGGGCTTGGTGAAAAAAAAGAGTTATATTTTTAATGTAATATAATCATGTTAGAAAAATAGAATAAAAGTGTTAGAAAGGATATTCAAATTTGGATTTACATAAAACTTCCAAGTAAAGTCTTTTTAATTTTTTGCTTTAATGAGAAACTTGAGCTTGCTTTCACAAAAATAGATTTTTATGTTTGATTTTATGATTGAGCTGGCTACAGGCAACTCCTAATCATGATTTTTAATGATGATCTTTCTTTAAATCCTTAGGAGTCACAATGAGAAAAAGTTTATTTACAAATAGATAATAAACATTTTAAAACCATTTTTTCACTTTTATAGCTGCTTAAAAACTAGCAAATTGAAATTATATTAAAAAAATCTAAAAGCATTTGCTTTTCTCTCATTGACTAATGGTAGGTTGAAATTTCTTATAGTAATGAAACTGAATTTCAAACCCAAAAAACATTTGTATGTGATATATTTCAAAATAATGAAGAATATCTAATTTGCAGAATATGCATCCATTTTTAGACCAGTCATACTACAGCTAGCTTGGATGCACCAACAAAACATATCTGTCACAAACACACAAATTCAAGATCTGCTCCTGAAGTAACACCCTCCAGGAGCTTTCTCTGACCACCTCTGACCAGCTCATCTGGAGCCTTGTTCCATTTCGCTAACATAAACTGCTTCAGCAGCAACCCAGGGAGTTTTCACTGGATGCTGAAATAAATTTCCTCAAGGTAGAGCATCTCTTTAGTGTATAGAAGATTATATTAAAGACTATCAAATGTGATTCCTTGAACTCTGGCCTGATAACCTGCTGATTCTCAAACTAGCGGTCCAAACTAACATCAACAGCAGCATCTCTTGCCAACTTTTTAGAAATGCAAACTCACAAGCTCCACCTGACACCCACAGAATCAGAAACTGTGCTGGTGTGGATTTTTGATTCATGCTCAAGTTGAAAACCACTTGGCTGAAGGAAATGATATTGAAAATGACATCTATAATCCACTCAAAAGCACAAAAGCTAGGAAGCCCTGTGTCTGTTTTGTTGTTGCCGTTGAAATTATAGAGATTTCTCCAACCTTTTGTAAGAAAAATCTTCAAGGTTTGATGCCCACGTAAAGAAAGCTACACACTGTGTAAAGGTCATTGTCTGTATTGCTTCCTGATGTACTTTTAAACTTGGCTCAGAGGCCCAGAGTTTTGTAATTGCTCATTCTGTGCCCATTTACACATGGGCAACCTAAGTAGAGTAAGTCACTACCAGGGTAATATTGTCCAAGAAGGACCATGAAAACATATTTTTTACCCCCCAAAAAAATCTCATCAATTCACCTTCTGTGATGCCTAATATTCCAGAATTGACGATTCTAATCTGAGGGTGGGAAATTCACCTCCAGCAGGACTCCTTTCAGATGTAAATGGTTTTATGATGGGGGAAAGCAGCTACTATCTATGATTGCCTTTATTTATAAGATTAAGTTTGAAAACCAAGTAACACTGAAAGAATGTGATATAGAACAAGAATGGTTGAGATTTGGTGAAGTGGAAAATAAGATGAAAAAGAAGTCAGAAAATAAAAGAATAATAACAAAAAAAAATCTAAAAATGAGAGACTGCCCAGCATGACATCCTAATGAGTTAAGGGTCAGTGTGAACTTGGCCATTTAAGTGTACGTTAAAGTGAGGAGGAGGAGGAGGAAAAGCAGAGAAAGAAAGAGAAGAAGAATGATAAAAGGAGGAAAAGGAGGAAAAGGGGACTTCTACTTGTGAGTTTTCTTTAATACCTGCTCTGGTTAGATCTTTTTATACCCACCACTCACAACAGCCAATGTTATCTTGCATGCACACATATCACCAATAGGAAATCTGTTTTCACCTCAGAGAGGCTTTACTTAAAAGACAGCAAGAATTTGATCAACCAGTTTATTCCACGCAATTTTTAACCATCTCTGGAATATCAGAAACCAAATGGTTCTTACATAGTGTGGAATTTAGGAGGTTCAGAGCCTGTTTGCCTGATGCCTGTTTGCCTATCTGTCAAAGCTCTAAATTTCTCTCTAAAACTCTCAAAAAGAAATAGAGAAATTTGGGGACCAATGGTGGAATGAAAGCTAAAAGAGAAGCACGCTACCTGCAGACACATTGGAATACTATACTGTTTTGCTTACCAGAAATATCAGCAGGACTTGTTTGTGCCTGGAGTATATGTGATTCCAGGGATATTTCTACTAATCTCAGGCACCCTGAAAACTTAAACGCATTTCGGTTATTTTTGAAAAGGCAATGTCTCTCAGTAATGCATTCTTAACTTTCCATTTCCATTCTCCACCAGAAACATGCACCGCTACCAACAACACCATCATCACGATCCTTAAATAGTAGTGACCAAAGCCATTGTACAATATCATCCGGAGAGAAAGCTTAGCAGAGACAGGACTGAACAGAACCAGTTTAGGTCCACACTGGCTTGAATACAGCTTGCATTAAACAAACATAGATGAGAATGTGAATAAGATTAAAGTGGAGCTACAAAGTGACCGATTGAATAAACCTATATTCTCTGAAATAGATGTTCAGGCATTCCTGGAGCCATACTTACTACATTTAAATGCATGCCTTAGGTTATTCTTGCTATAGTACCCCTTTCCTCCAAGTCAGCAGATACACAGGGCAAATATTTGAGAAGAAACAAGAAAGGGAGTTGAGAATAGTAGAAAGTGTTTCTCAGTTCTGTTTCCCCTGGGTTGGCTGGACCATCACATGCCTTGCATATGCAGGCTCACAGTATCTCAACACCACAAGCAAGAGAGAGCAGTTTTCTTTCTGAAATCTCCCTCACGAGTCCTTACATTCACTCTGTTTCACCTGCCCAGATTGAGTCACATGCACTTTGACCTGGGCAGGCATATATGAATAGGCTTAGACCCACATTAGGTACCCACTGTTGGGGTTGGAGATGGAATTCCCACTTAAAAAAATATTCTGTGAATGGAGGCAGGATGGTTCCATAAAAGCAAAATTGAAGTACTGTTATCAGAAAAAGGAGAAATGATTACTGGGTATCATAAAGTCACACATGTCAACTACAGTATAAACAACCTTTAAATATGAGCTTGTTAAAAGCAGCATGCACTGGCACACAGAAAACTAGCCTAGCAGTTGGGAAACTTGATTGGCTCTCCATCTAATTCACTGTGTGGCCTTGCAAAGTCCCACTGATTAGTCAGACTTTATTCTGCAGGAGAACCTGTAATTCTCCGAAGTTATCCTCAGTCTCCTCAGGGATCTAAAGAAGAGGGACTCCAGCAAACCCAATGCTCAGAGATAACCATTGGTAACATACATATGTTATTATTTTATACACATACACACAGCCTTTTTTCTAAGCTTAATTATGCTTTACTAATTTTGGGCATGAGATAAGGTCACAACTCTTAAATGTTCATTTTTTTTAATTTTTAAATTTTATTTATTTATTTATTTGAGATGGAGTCTCGCTGTGTCACCCAGGGTGGAATGCAATGACGCGATCTTGGCTTACTGCAAACTCCACCTTCTGGGTTCAAGTGATTCTCCTGCCTCAGCCTCTGAAGTAGCTGGGATTACAGGCGTGCACCACCACGCCCGGCTAATTTTGTATTTTTAGTAGAGAAGCGGTTTCACCATGTTGACCAGGCTGGTCTCAAACTCTTGACCTCAAATGATCTGCCTGCCTTGGCCTCCCAAACTGCTGAGATTACAGGCATGACCTACTGCGCCCAGCCTAATGTTCAATTTTAAGTGACTTTCATTGTCCTTCCTGTAACCGAAAGAGGGTCCATCTGCTTGCTGCTTATAGGAAGAGTAAGGTATGATAAAAAGAGAGTGAATTTTATTATTTGTTGACAGCAAGGGGGAAAGTGGCCAGAATCCTTTCCAAAAATTGCCACTTTCCAATTTCTGGAGAGAGGGCAGGGGTTTAAGAAAAGGGGCTTGGAATGCAGAAGAGGTATCAGGGCTAGGAAGTGCCAGGCAGTGTGGGTGGCTCTGATGGCTTATCTTGAATTACTGTTCCATCTGGTGAAGGGGCTGGCAGCATCATGGGCTCAACCATGGTACAAATGAATCAGTCAGTCTTGCAGTCAGTCTCTAGCCTGAAGTGAACTCCAGCCTGGAAGTAATCCCCTGCTAGGGAGAGAATTCTGGAGGTGCCTGGTTCATATCAGGCTTCAGCCACTGAAGCTTCTACGGAGATAGGTGATTAGATAAGCGAGCATGGTGTGAGCTTAACAAGCACACAGGTAAATAAATGTGCATAAGGCATGGGAGCATAAGGTGGGAAAGGGAAGGGAGAGGAGTTTTAAAGCACATTCCAAGGCTGTATTTCAAGATGAAAGAAAACACATCTGTAGTTTGTCTCAAAGCACACCTTGAGACTGGGAAGAAAGAAGGAAAGAAAATAAAAGTTTTTGTTTTTTATTTTTTGGGTTTTTTTTAGACGGAGTCTCACTCTGTCATCAGGCTGGAGTGCAGTGCCGTGATCTCAACTCACTGCAAACCTCCGCCTCCCAGGTTCAAGCGATTCTCCTGCCTCCGCCTCCCAAGTAGCAGGGACTACAGGAAACAAAATTTTTAAAACACAGTGTGAGGCTAAGCTACTCAGTTACATTGTCACAGTCAGGAAAATTTTTCTTTTCTTTTTTTTTTTTTTTTTTGAGACGGAGTCTCGTTCCGTCGCCCAGGCTGGAGTGCAGTGGCGCGATCTCGGCTCACTGCAAGCTCTTCTCCCAGGTTCACGCCATTCTCCTGCCTCAGCCTCCCGAGTAGCTGGGACTACAGGCGCCCGCAACCACGCCAGGCTAAATTTGTATTTTTAGTAGACACAGGGTTTCACCGTGTTAGCCAGGATGGTCTCCATCTCCTGACCTCGTGATCTGCCCGCCTCGGCATCCCAAAGTGCTGGAATTACAGGCGTAAGCCACCGCGCCCAGCCGATAATTCTTTCTTTTTTACTCCGAGATTACCCTCCTGGGCAAACACTAATAATTCCTTAGGCTTATTCAGTCTAAGGATTAACATTTTGTTACCTTTTTCTTATTACTGGAAATAGAACCCTCAAGCTCTTGGAGGCTTGAGGATGCCACAACCACAATAAGGCATCCTAGAATGTCCAGTTGATGTGCTAAAACACACTGTCACGGACCCCTGAAACCTTGGTTGCCAACAGGAAAGGCTAGAAATTGTACTCCCTTTACCCATTGCTTCTGGAACCATCAGTACAGATCCAAGATACAGTCATTCTTCAAGATCAGAGAAAGAAAGATTCCTGTAGTGTTAAAATGACACAGAATCCCTAGGTTACACCAAAATAGGTGGCTATCTTCCTAGAGAATACCCAGGTTCCAGCGTTGAGTGGGCAGAGGGTGTTTCTCTGTCAGCTCAAGACTAGCTCCTCCTTTGCACTAGTGAAGCCTTTGTTTACATAGAACTTGACTCTCTTCCTTCTCATGGTTAGTTTCTCTTTGGGTTTTGGTGAGTTTGCTTGGTGTCCTTTCCTGTCTATTGATCTACAAGGGCTAACTGTTCATAACATACACTCGGTGTCCCCAACCCCATCCCAAAGTGTGTCAGGGTCTTGATTTCTTTCTTCCCAAGAAGTTTCTTGGCTCTTAATAAAAACTGCCTACCCTCTTTCTCAGCAGCCTTCGTGCTCCATACACCAAGGTGTAGGGGAGGATTGTCCTTTGTCATGAGGGGAAAAATCTTCTTACACTTTCTTTCCACAATTCCGTGGCCTACTTGAGGGCTTTTCCTCCAGTGAAAATAGTAACAGAAAATATACACCACAATACTGATTTCCCTAAAATAGAAATAAATGTTTTGGTAACTTTTCAATGGAAACTCTGTAGGTGAATCCTAGTTAAAATAGAAGATGTACTAAGCACCAGATGTCTCTCTCTCTCAATCTCTCTCTTTTATGCACACACAAACACAGAGACAACGCAATGAAAAATAGGAAACTGCTAATTAGGAAAAAAAGAGATTTGAGGTTGAGTGGCTGGTTGAGTTAAAATACTCAAGGTCAGATTTAATTTTCAATGTTCAGTTATTTTAATAGGCAAAAGGCATATATGTCAGGATACCTCTATTCAGAGGATTATTTTCCTACCCTTATTTCTTCTTAAACCAAACAACATTATACAACATTCTGGTTGGCAAATCACTCCTATTTCCGTATTTGCCTTATGTGGTTTCAGCCGTCTGTTTGTGGTATGAGTACTTTTTTCACATGCAGAATCCAAACTGGATTCTCCACCAGTTTGTGAGGTAGACCCTTGGACAGTTCTTGCCTCCCATCAGGCAAACTGCTTCAAAAGTGAATAGCTTTCAGACCCCTTTTGTGACATGCCTAGGCCAGCAAGATTTTTGATGACTTCCAATCCCAAATCCATTGTCTCGTTAAAGGAGGGCTTAGTGGCAAGGCATTCTTTGACAATAGCATTAAATAGTAATCTGATATAGATTTCTTGCTAGAATTTGGAAATCATTTTATAACTTAATTTGTTTCAATGCTGTAAAAGTTACCATTTTCAGAAGAATCCACATGGATCTCTATCAGCTCTATTTGAAGACAGGAGTTTATCATCATTACTTTGTATTGCTATCTTCTTCCATGGAGAGAAAAATTACTAAATGTGTTATGAGTATTAGGGAGCTTTGGGCCATAAAATGCAATTTGAACACTTAGTGAAACATTCCACATCAATATCTTTCTTATTGATTTGGAATCAATGACAAAAATATTTTTATAGAGACAACATTTTCCTTTATTCTGGCTTTTTTAATACCTAGAACACTTTTTCACCAGATATATCTTCTCTACCTTTCTACATTTTTTTATTTCTTTGCTCAAAGTTACCTTTAAATAAGATCTAACCTGACCACATCATTAAAATTTGTAACCTGTTCTACAATATTTCCAATCTGCCTTATCCCTTGCTATATTTTCCCCACAGCATTTATCATCTTTTAATATAACAAATAAAATTATTTAGACAACTTGCTGTTCATTATCCATCTCTACGTTCTACAATGTACACTGTAAAGGCAGGAATTTTTGACTGCTTTGTTCAGTAATGTTTCCCCAGTACATGGTACTGTGTTTGACATGTGGTGACTCCCTCAATAAGAATTTGTTATATGAATGGATGAATGCCTGAACTTATGAATAAATAACTAAAAACCAAAAAATGGTGACAAGTTATCTATCTAAACAATTTGGTTTCACAGTGAATAATCTACTGAAATAACAACATATGATTTAACAAGAAAAAGAAGTTAACGGCTGTCAAATAATGGTACCTTTTAATTTTACTTATAAAAGTAGATCACAATTTACAGGTAGAATCATTTAATTATGCAATATACGATTGACTTAATAGTGTTTTCAGTTTATAATTTCGAGTCTCTTTTTATGTTAACATTTTAATATAAAGTCAAACTTTTTTTTTTCATTGAAACAGGTAAGAAAGTTACAGATAATTTTAGTTTGTCAGTTATGATAATGCTATTTGTGGCTCTCCTGACCCTTGACTCACAAAAGATGGGACAAATTATCATTTTTTTTAGGTAATAAGTTTTACTGCTAATTCAGATCTTTGTGTTATGTGTCCCAAATCTCTCTTAGGTTCTAACAGTGACAGATATTGATTCATTTAAATAAACATCATGTATAACTTTTTAACTTTATGTTACATGGTTTTTAAATTCTTTTATATTTGGTAGGATAATTATAAATTATGTTTTGATTATTTGTATTCACTGCATTGCCTTAGGTATTGGGCATAGGTAGTGTGTTAGTCAAGGTTCTCCAGAGAAACAGGAGCAATAGGATATCTTATGTATGTGCATGTGTGTGTCTGTATGTGTAAAGAGAGAGACACCGAGATTTATTATAAGGAATTGGCTCCTGTCATTACAGAAGTTAAGAAGTTTCAAGATCCTTAGGTGGCAAGCTGGAGACTCACGAAAGCTGATGCTGTAAGTTCCAGTGTGAGTCTGAAAACAGATAATCGATGTCCAGCTGGAAGACAGGAGGAGAGAGAGAGAATGAACTCTCTTTTACTCAGTAGTTTTGTTTTATTCAGGCTTCCAAGATGAAAGCTCTGCCACATTGCGGAGGACAGTCTGCTTTACTATAATAACTCTATGGATTCAAAAGTTAATCTTCCCCAGAAATATCCTCACAGACACATCCAGAATAATGATTAACCAAATATCTGGTCACCCGCACCCCAGTGAAGTTAGCACATAAAATTAGCTATCACAATAGTATGTTAGGACAGTCTGGCTCAGTGAGCAGTCAGGTTCCCGAAGTTTAAGTAGCGTTAAGTCCAAGCCACCACCCAGCAGGTGGCACCCACAGCCACTCTGTCAGAAAGAGCTATTTTATCTCAAAATTGTTGTTTTAATCAATTACTTCTGTATTATCTTAATTTTACACAGCTCTACTTTTTATAGGCAGGGAGCAATTCAGATGCTTCAATATTTAACCTTTATATATGAAGAATACCTTTCGTATTCATTTGATAAGAACCATCTTGATACCTTGTGTATATTACCAGTTTTACATATCTGATGTTTTTACCTTGGTTTTACATGGCTCAATTTCTAGATGGGTAAGCTATCTTAAATTCATTATTAAACAGCACTACTATAATACTTTAAATATAAAATTTACAAAATAAGCAATCATTATTTCTAAAGAATACTATGTGCAATTAAAATTTTTATATGTCATCTTTGAGTGTTAGCCTAGGGGTAGTATAAATTTTAGTGCATGACTTGTGGAACAACATATAACACTTTAGTGAACACCACTGGGAACTCATATGTCTTTACAGTTTGTAATGTCTGCCCCTGTAGAGTATAAGAGTGGAGAGGCCGGGCGCAGTGGCTTACACCTGTAATCCCAGCACCTTGGGAGGCCAAGGCGGGCTGATCACTTGAGGACAGGAGTTCGAGACCAGCCTGGCCAACATGGTGAAACTCGGTCTCTGCTAAGAATACAAAAAGTAGTTGGATGTAGTGGTGGGCACCTGTAATCCCAGCTACTCGGGAGACTGAGGCAGTAGAATCACTTGAACCCGGGAGGCGGAGGTTTCAGTAAGCCGAGATTGTGCCATTGCATTCCAGCCTGGGCGACAGAGTGAGACTCCATCTCAATTAAAAAAAAAAAAAGTGGACAAATTACCTGTATAGATTCAACTTTTCTCTATATCTACAAATCTAATTATTGCTAGTCAGTGTAGAAGCCTCTTCAAGTCCATTCCTTTGTCCTTATTATATTACCCTCTGATATTTTCAGAAGAATTTGGATAGAAAAAAATTCTTTTAGGATTGAACTATAGTCTAAAAGCTATGGTTTCATTAGTGAAAAATAATAATAGAAATCAAAATATGGGTGCTACGGGTCACATTTTATTATTCACATAAGGACTGGGAATAAATCAATTGCTATTTTATTATCTGAACGTTGTGCCCTTTGATAAGAAGCTCCTCCCCTCTCCCAAGAGTATAGCGAAAAATACAAAGACATAGGACACACAGAATTTTAGACAGCATCTGCATACTATTAAGGAAGAATAGAAAGAAAAGGAGACCAGCCATATTCAATTCTTTGAAATGTCATCTACATCCTCCATTAAGTTTTTAGTTTGCAATAAACTATATGCTACAATGTGGATGTTAGTGTGTATGTGGGTATTTGGTTTAGAATATGTGTCTGTTGTAAAACCAATTTATCTTACACATGCACACAATCTAGCAACCAACTGAGGAAGTGGTAAATGTTAGGAGTTTGGTATAAAGTCTAGTAATTTAGGGACATTTTAAGGTTATAACTATAGCTGCTTTTATAATTTTAGCTTTTATGCAAAAGTCTGAGTCTTCATGGATTAAAATATGTCATGTTTGTATTTTTCAACTTGCAGTCAGCGACAAATGCGCCTTTACTTCAGTAAGGGAACAAAGATAATCTGAAAAAAATTAAAGCTCTCCAAAAAAAATTGAATTTACAAATAGAGGCCTTATTGTTTTATTCTAGAAGCATTAGTTAAGAAAAAATCTTTAAATAGAGTAGTCATAAAATTCTCAAATTTCTCATATATGTACACACATCTTCATTTAATGTAAAATTATCTAACTTTGGAATTAGAACTTTTCAAAATAAATTTTCATTGCATTTACCGAAGGAAGTAATGTGACAGTTTACTCTCTGATTCGGGGCTCAACCACAATTTTTAAAGTGACACCCAGATTTTTTTTCTTTTTAAGATTTTAGCCTTGGGGATAGTAAGAAGGGCTATAACATCCAGTGTCATCTACATTCTAAGCATGTTGTCATCATTTATTCAATTCAGGATGTACTGTCAATTTCTTGAAAAGTCATTCAGAAAATTAAATTTTGTTTCGAGTGTAAGATTAGAGTGAAAAACAAAATTATTGGTTTAAAACATAGTTTAATTTCTTGATTGCATTTAACTTGACTGACTGGCCTACACTGTAAAACAGATCATGTAACAATACTTCATATTTTTGCATAGTCACTGACTTAGTCTGAATTGTGCTAAATTTTTAAGAAACAGAAATTTATTTTCTCACAGTTCTGGAGGCTGAGAAGTCTAAAATCAACACTGGAATGTGGTGAGAGCCTTCTTGCAGTGTCGTCTCATGACAGAGGGTAAGAGGATGAAAAAGTACATGCAATGAAGAAAGAAAAGGGGGCTAAATTCATCCTTTTATAAGCAACTCACTCTCATGATAACAGCATTAATCTATTCATGAAGGCAGAGCTCTCATGGCCCAATCACCTCTCATCAGTCTCCACCTCCCAACACTGTTACAATGGGGATAAACTTCCAGCACATGAACTTTGGAGGACACGTTCAAACCACTGCAATCCCTATATACATTAAATCATTCCAGAACAATCATACACTTACCTTTGGAAAAAATTTTAAAGGAAGGTTTTACATTTTGCTGGAAGAAGTTTTTCTAAGTGCATTTAAAAATTTGTTTCCACTTAAAAAAATTATGTTTACCAAGGTTTTTTCCCTGCCTATGCTTGCCACCAACTGCACAGAAGAGCTCTACAAACCCCAGGGCAGGAAAGGAAGTAGAGAATATTAGAGTCAATAATAATCCAGCTTCCCTGTATCTCTAGCAAGCTCCTGCACTACTAGCTGCATAGCTCCATGCCTTTTAAAATTTGCTGAGGTACTGAAACCACACTTTGGCTGTTTCTGCCTTGCTACCACATTGTGGCCAGCTGACCGCATTCTCTATATTAGATCTAATTTTAGGATGCTTAATAGCAGCAATATGGCAGAGATTTTAAGATATCAGGGGACATAGGGACCAGTTAAATTGTGATTCTACTGCCTCTACAGTCTTTGCAAACACAACATTAGATAACAATTTGATAGTCCGAATATCACTCATTCTATCCATAGAATGTGACAGTTATTTCCTCCTTCTTGAAATATACTTCTTGGCTTTTATCAAAGCAGTTCTCCTTTGGTTCTTCTTCAAGCTCTGCTGGCTTTTCTCATCTTCTCACACTATGCAGTTTTAAGTGCCTGACACTCAGTCCTCAGGTCTTTACTTATTGTGAATTCATTCCTTAGGGAATCTAATGAATCCATGGTTGCAAAGACCATCTGTATCCACTGATGCAAATTTGTATGTGCAGCCCCAAAAAATCCTTAAACTTCAGGCACTATATCATTAAACAGTATCAACATTTCCACTTGAATGTCCAGTAGGCCTCTGGACCTCAATATGCTTAAATATTCACTCCTGATCTTAGCCACCATCATACTTTCTGCATACCCTTCTGTGACCCACCCCCACCCCTCACCTCCATGTCCCCAGGACTTCCTCTTCTGCAGAAAAGACACTTATCTTTCTCTAGTTGCCTAAGATAAAAAGATATTGCCTTCATCACTGACTCCTCTACTTCTCCCAGAACTCAATTCATTTGCAAATTTTATTGGCGCTACCTTGAAAGTACACTGAAAAGGTAATCATTCCACTTCATCTACTCTTGTTCTCATTGACCTTTCACAATATGAGGTTGATCATAACATGCCTCTGGTCAGAAACACTGGATGGTCGTCTGTTTCACCGAACATCAAAGCCAATGTCTTTACAAGGTCCTATATAAATTATCCCCTTTACATCCTCTCAAATTTCATTTCCCACAACTTTCTTTCACTCTATTCTGGTGATGCCAGTAGGTCTGGCCCTCTCCAATGCCAGAGCCATTTTACTTTTTGTTTTCTCTGTCAGAAAGTGGTATCACCACATATGCAATGCACTCACTCCCTTTACTTCTTTCAGATTTTAACTTCAATGTAATTTGTTCAGAGAAGTCTCCCTAGTCACTTTCTCATTCCCCCTCTCATTCTCTCCATATACCTACTCTTTTTCCCCATAGCCTTTCTCATGATCAGATATATTTATATTCATATTTGGCTTACTGACTATCCTACCACTGAATTATAAACTATAAAAGTTGGGCCTTTATTCCAAGCTGTTTTTTCACATCTACAAAAATGTCTGGTATACAATAGACAGTTTTTTCATATATCTAAACCAGAGAGAGATACTGCGAACCTAATGAAGTTTAACCGTCAGTCCTCTTATTTGACATGGGCCCCTATAAGTACTGAGAAGTGTTGGGAGGTGTTTAGTGTTGTAGGTGTTCAGTGTAGGTGAGAGGAAAGCCAGTTTAGAATTATGAAGTATGCGAGCATATATGGAAATTTGCCTGAAGGAATGTCAGATGAAATCTGCATGAATGACTTCAGTAAATTGTCAAGATTTCTTTCCTCATCCTAAATAAATATTCTTTCTCATCTCAAATTTTTGGTTACACAATGTCGTATTCTGTTTTCTTAAGAAGATCCCCTCAAATTCTATAACAACCCCATAAGATGAGCATATGCCAACATAGATCACCGAGCTTTTCAGGGAAGAGACAGCAGACAAGTTTGTTGGCAATCAAGTATCTTCTTCAAAAGAAGATATCCAGACCCTGTGTGACTACTCTTGGATCACAAATGATTCATCCTGACAGCATTACCAACTCTAAGGTTGCTTTAATGAGTCAGTGATTTCTGATCTTTAATACCAACATTAAAGAATAAATTAGCATGAATAGTACACAAATATAAGTATTGCATGTATCTTTAGCTGCAACAATGCACAATTACATATGCAGAACTCACTTCTAAAAAGGAGTTAATACACATTTTTTATTTTCATATTTTTCCCAAAAGATAACAAAAATTTAATATATATGATAAATATTAAAGGGGTATTTAGGTCCATAAGAAAAATTTATCTAAAAATATTTTTTAGGCTGGGCGCGGTGGCTCACGCCTGTAATCCCAGCACTTTGGGAGGCCGAGGTGGGCAGATAGCGAGGTCAGGAGATCGAGACCATCCTGACTAACACAGTGAAACCCCATCTCTACTAAAAATCCAGAAAAATTAGCCAGGCGTGGTGGCGGGCACCTGTAGTCCCAGCTACTCGGGAAGCTGATGCAGGAGAATGGCATGAACCCGGGAGGCAGAGTTTGCAGTGAGCTGAGATCATGCCACTGCACTCCAGCCTGGGCGACAGAGCAAGACTCCGTCTCAAAAATATATATATATATTTTTTTTAATTACGGATTTCTCCAAATTGTCTCCATTTTTTTATGTGTATACTTCAAACAGTTCTAATTTTTGTTTTGTTTTCTAAATCATCAATTCTGGTTTGTTTTTTCTTTTGCTTTTCTTAGGTCTTCCTTGTGACTATGGTTAATTATGCCTAATGAGAATATTTAGTTGATTTTAATTGTTTTATTAGTATTAAGGAAATTACACAAGTTTAGAAATTTTATCTCTTGGTCGGGTGCCGTAGCTCACACCTATAATCCCAGTACTTTGGGAGGCCAGGGCAGAAGAATCACTTGAGGCCAAGAGTTTGAGACCAGTCTGGTTTACATGGTGAAAACCCATCTTTACTAAAAATACAAAAATTAGCCACCTGTGGTAGCACACACCTGTAGTTCCAGCTACTCAGGTGGCTGAGACACAAGAATTGCTTGAACCTGGAAGGTGGATCTTGCCTCAGTGCAACTTCCACCTCCCAGGTGAGGCTGAGGCTGAGGATGAGGATGAGGGTGAGGGTGTGAGAGAGAGAGAGAGAGAGAGAGAGAGAAACCTTTTAATGAGACTAGGATTTCCCTTATATTTGTTTTATGTGATAGCTGCTAGTTTATTATTTAGTGGTCAGAAATTATATCCTATAAAATATCTGCTTTTTAAAATGTATAACATTTTTGTCATGAGTGGATTTTTATAAATGTCTATGGGTACTTGAAAAGTAGTTGTTCTCAGCCTAGAGCAGTATTTTTTAATTTATATAATACACTAAGGTATATCTTGAAATATTTGTATCTTAGTTCAGAAAACTTAGGGCTGTTTATCCAAAAAAGGATATACATTTTTACTGGAAAGCTAGCACCAGTTATGTGACTACCAAGACAGTTGAGCTATTTGAGCACATTAAGAATAAAATGGAGTTCTTTTTTTCAAGAAACAGAAGCATTAAAAGTTTGTAGTACAGGTTGAGTATCCCTTAACCAAAATGCTTCGGGCCAGAAGTATTTTGGATTTTGACTTTTTTTTTTTTTTTTTTTTTTTCAGATTTTGGATTATTTTCATGTACATAATGAGATATCTTGGGCGTGGGACCCAAGTCTAAACATAAAATTCATTAGTTTCATATACATCCTATACATATAGCCTGCAGGTAATGTTATATAATACTTTTAATAATATTGTGCATAAAACTGATCAGAAGGCGAAGGTGTCAATATCTTCACCACCAAGTTCAGTCTGTGGTTATTTAGCATCATTATCATTCCTGACTATAATTTTTGTTGTTGTTGTTGTTGTTGGATACAGGGTCTCATTCTGTTGCCCAGGCTGGAGAGCTGGAGTACAGTGGCATGATCTTGGCCCACTGCAACCTTGACATCCCAGTGATACAGCTCTGATGAGTGGAGGAACACCAGGGCTCTTGTCTCACATCAAATTAGATCAGACTACACAGACACATGTGGAGTGGTTTTAAGGAGCGAACCGTTTAATAGTCAAGAAGAGGCAAGAAGGAAGGGAGAAGGAAGAAGCTCCTTTGTACAGAGACAGAGGGAGAGGGGCTCCAAAGCCAAAAGAGGAGGTCCCCACCTGCCTGGATACCAGCCATGTGCATATACAGAGGCTGGAGGAAGTGGTGTCTGATTTGCACAGGGCTTAGGGGATTGGTTTGACTAGGCGTGTCATTTAGGAAGCCTGCGAAAAAGCTGGCCCTCCCACTCTAGCCTTTTAATATGCAAATGAAGGGTGCCATGATGTTCTACACACGTGGGGATATGTGGGGGCGGCCATATTGCCAGGAACACACTGGGAAAGGGCAAGAAGGCCCCTCTGGGAATCACCACGTTTGGGTGGACCCAGTGTCTAATGGCTGGCATTTGCAGATCAAAGGTTGCCAGCCAGGGCTTTACAGGAAACTTTTCTGGAAATGCTTTAAAAAAATGAAAACTTCCCAAGGATCCTTTGCCTCTGTATCTGCCTAAAATAATTTCTTAGTATCTCCTACAACACCACACTCAGGAGATCTTTCCAATTAGTTCAAGTGATCCTCCCAATTAGCTGGAATCACAGGTGTGTGCCACCATACCCAGGTAATTTTTGTATTTTTTTATAGAGACAGGGTTTTGCCACGTTGTCCATGCTGGTCTCAAACTCCTTCGCTCAAGCAATCTGCCCACTTTGGCTTCCCAAAATGCTGTGATTACCGACATGAGCCACCGTGCCTGGCCCCTGACTCTGAATTTATATGCTGCCGAAAAGCAATCATTTTTCTACCCTTATCCATACATAAGTATTCAACGGAAAAAATATGACATAACATTAAACAGTAAAAAAACAACGTGCCCAGGCAAGCCAAAGCAGCACAGTAGCAAAACCAATTTCTTAAATAACAGCAACAACAAAGAACAGTAGGCTTTCAGTGTCTACCTACAATGCTGTGCTTTGATGAAAATGTTACTGTATGGTATATTTTATGTTTTTAGATAAGAAGAAATATCAGAAACAGTTGAGGGAACAGAAAGTGGCCCCTCTAAGGATAAGGATGCATTCTGCCTGATGGTTTCTTTGTTTCCTCCAGAGTCATCTGCCTCATTAACAATGGTTTGTGTCTTAGAAGTCTGGCTTCGATTTTATAAACTGACATGATTTCTTCTTCTGTTATGAATGCCCGCTGCTCTCATCTTTCAATAAGCCCATTACACATTTTTATCATGTTGTGTATGGGCACTTTTTCTACAGTGTTAAAGTCATTTTCACCATCACTATTATCATGATCACTTTGATTCAGTACCATTTTGGCTATTTTACTTTCAGTCAATGAATGAATAACTGCAACCTCATTATCAATGTTAAAAACTTCTTCAATATCCACTTCTTTCAGCTTACTAACAGACTTTCAAGGTGTATTTTTTTCCATATGTAGGGAGATCAGACATCATTTTTTTCTCACTTGACATGGAATCCTTCAAAGTCCCCACCTTGGTCATCATCATCACTGAGCATAGTTGCAAGCCAGAGGTTGGGCCAGGCATGTACAACTGTGTCTTTTAGTCACTGTATTCCAAGCATTTGCAACAGCACATATAGCATCCTTCATGCTAAACTTCTTTTGAAAACTTTCCACACTATGCTTCTGTTCATTGCTGCTAGTATGCTGTTCAAGAAAGTGTTTTTTATATTTACTCCTTATTGATCTATGGATACCTTGGTCACATGGCTGAAATAATAGTCATATTTAGGAGAATGTACATGGCATAAATATTATTTCTGATGAGGATTCCAGCTGGGGGATGAGCAGAACAGCTATCAAGGAAGAACAAAATCTTTCAAGTCCTCATCCAGTCCAGCTTCCCTGCAGTGAGCACCAGCTGCTGATACAAAATGTTTGTGAAACCAATTAGAAAAGGTGTCCCTGGTGGTTCATGCCTTTTTGTTTGCATAGTAATGGACCATTTAAAAAAATTCACTCTTTGAAAACAGCAAGGATGCAGGCTTTTCCTATCACAGCAAGTTTACACTTATGCATGCCTGCTGCATTAGCACATCCCAGCACAGTTATTCTGTCCTTGGCATCCTTAATTCCCACAGGGGCTGTCTCATCAGCTGTAGTCAGTGTCTTTCTGGGGCAATATGCCAACACAGTGATACTTCACCAGCATTATAGACTTGTTCAGGTGTCAGATTTTCATCAGCAATGACCTTTGCACACTTGTCAATGAATTTCTCCACTGCTTTGTAATCAGTAGATGCTTCATCACTGAAAATCTCTAAACATTTAATGTCACATCTTTCCTTAAATTTCTGCAACTAGCCTTTTGAACATTCACGCAGTTTTCCTCAGTTTTCAGTTCATTGTGATAGAACCTTGTTTGTTTCATGATCAGCGTACCATTAAGTGGCATGGATTCATTGCAACACTGACAGATCAGCTCTTTCCATACAAGATTGAAACCTTCACTTTTGGCTTTGTGCAGTGTTTTTCCATTTTTCATTAAGATCTGCTTATCACTTCTCACATAGCACAGTTTATCCTTCTGTTTCTTCAGGCCATATATAGTGGTCATTCCAACCCCATACTCATCTGTAGGATGTTTCACACTGACACCACTGTCCAGTTTCCCCAACTGCTTGACTTTTTGTGCTAAACATAAATGTTCCCTTTTTCTTATCACTGTAACCCATAGGGTTATGTGATGTAGGCCTATTTCTTCTGACATTTTCAGCAGTATCTTTATAACACAGAGTAGATAGTAAGCAAAATAACACAGTGAGTAATGCACATAGGTCTTGGCCCCATGTGGGGCATTGTAGGAAACCTGCCCCTGGCATGTCCAGCATGTACATGTGCCATTTTATTACCCTTTCCATGAATGCTTGTGTCGGGGGGACATGGAAATGTGTGAAAAAGATAGTGCAGCTAAAGGGGGCTGAGGGAGTCTTTTTTCCCTTTGGTACACTAAATAAATTGTGTGTTGTGCATGTACATTTTGACTGTGATCCACCACATGAGGTCGGGTGTGAAATTTTCCACTTGAGGCATCATATGGGTGCTCAAAAGTTTTGGATTTGGGAGCATTTGCGATTTTGAATTTTTGGATTAGGTATGTTCAGCTGTATACTAAATCCATGGAAATAAGGATCACTTCAAAAAAAAGAGAATAGATGTTATAAAGTTAACTTCTTCTAAACTAAATATAATGTTTTATATTATAATTTTATAAAATAAATTCTATTAATTAAAACTAAAACTCTTAACATATTCGTGCAACTTGAAAAACTATTTTGGTATGTTCCCAGTGTCCAACAAATACATCACAAATATTAAAAGACGATTATTAAAGAGTTTAAGCCAAAGCTCACAAAATTGTTTTTTAATTTGGTTTTCAGCAAAGACTAAAGCAGAAACAATTTTGTGAGCCAGGCATTTCCATTCAGATTAGAATTAGAAACCTATATGTCTCCTATGTACTAAAAATGCTGGCATTTCCCTTAGATATAAATTCTCTTTAATAAATATTATATGCCTATTACATAACAAAAGAAAGGTAGGTAGTTTGAGAAACAAAAATAAACACCTAAAAATATGACACATTTTCTACCCTTAAGAACCTGAATTCTCTGAGGAGGATAGATAGATCTAAAATAAATTTGAGAAAAAGACAGATTATAAGTACAAATACATTCTAACACACTTCTTTCTGACTTCTCTGTGAAATCAAAGAAAGATATGAAATTCGGCACTTGACCTGTTGATTGACAAGCTCTATGTTCACTGAAATTCTCATGTGTGACCTTAATTCAAGTACTTTAATTATAAGTCACTGACTTTTAACTTTTCAAAGAAAGTATCCCCAACCTTCCCTCCAACCAAATGTATTCTGGAGATCTCAAAGCAGATAGGAAAAATTGGGGGCTAGGAACACAACCTAGGGAAGATTAAAGCAAAGGGGCCAATCAAAGAATTAGATTTACTTAGCTGAACCAGAACCTTACCTGGGTAGAGGGAAAATAGGAGGGAATCATTCTCCCAGTTCTCAACTGGGAATCATTCTCGCAGTTGAGAACACTTATTAAAAGTGAAGTATATATAATACAACTGACCCTTTAATAATATGGGGGTTAGAAGTTCCTACACCAGCCCAGTCAAAAACCCACATGTCACTTTTGACTCCTCAAAATCTTAACTACTATCCTGTAATCTCAGTAGTTGAGTTTGAGTCAAGTACTTGGCCTTTCGGAGGCCAAGGCAAGAGAATCACTTGAGGCCAAGATTTCAACACCAGCCTGGGCAACAAACATAGCAAGACCCCGTCTCAATAAATAATTAAAATTAGCCAGGTGTGTGAGTGCACGCCTGTAGACCCAGCTACTCAGGAGGCTGAAACAGGAGGATCGATTGAGTCTGGGGGGTTGAGGCTGCAGTGAGCTGTCATCACGCCACCGCAGTCCAGCCTGGGCAACAAAGCAAGACCCTGTCTTAAAAAATAAATGAATAAGTAAATAAATAAAATAAAATAAAAAAACTTTAACTACTAATAGGCTACTGCTGACAGGAAGCCTTGCCAATAACATAAACTATCAGTTAACACATATTTTGTACATTATATATACTATATACTGTATGCTTACAATAAAGTTAGAGAAAATAAGAAAATCATAAATAAGATATATTTACTATTCATTAAGTGGAAGTGGATCATCATAAAGTTCTTCACATTGAGTAGGCTGAGTAGGCTGAGGAGGAGGAGGAGGAAGAGAGAGAAGGGGAAGGACTTGCTGTCTCAGGGATGGCAAAGGTAGAAGAAAATCTGTGAATATGTGGACTCATGCAGTACAAACCCATGGTGTTGAAGGTTCAATTGCGATTCAAAAATTTGGTATAATACTGAACTGCAACTGTTAAGACTATGATGTGAATGTACTAAGTTGAGACACAGAGAAGGCAGATAGAGGGTGATGATATTTTTATATGCTGTATCCAACTTGCTTCTCCTGATGTTACAAATTGTTTAGGCTTCTGAGTTAGCCCAGAAAAGAAAAAGTATCTGTTTATTTTCCCTGGTGCAGTGACAGGCAGGATGAAAGAAATCATCTCTTGCCACCAGATGGTGCCCTGCTTCCCCTGGGGAATGTAATGAAGGGCCGTCAGTAGCTGCTGAATGCAGAATCTGAGTGCCTTCAAGTGGGAACTTCTGAGTTATTTTGTCATGGGTGTTTACTAGGAACTGAGTACAAGGCTGCCATAGTCTATTCCAAAACGTTCCCTCTCTCTCATTTCCTTTCTGACAACTCTTCTTCCCTCTCTTCTACCATTCATCCAGACCCTTAGCCTCCTTAATTTACCAAGAGAAATCAGAAGAGAAGCTAGAAGCCATCATTCTCAGCAAACTAACACAGGAACAGAAAACCAAACACCTCACGTTCTCACTCATAAGTGGGAGTTGAACAATGAGAACATATGGGCACAGGGAGGGGAACATCACACACCAGGGCCTGTTGGGAGATGGGAGGAAGGGGAGGTAGAGCATTAGAACAAATACCTAAAGCATGCAGGGCTTAAAACCTAGATGATGGGTTGATAGGTGCAGCAAAACACCATGGGACATGTATACCTGTGTAACAAACCTGCAAGTTCTGCACATGTATCCCAGAACTTAAAGCAAAATAAAATATAAAAATATATACACACATATACACACACATATATGTATATGTATGTCCAACACATTTACTTGTTCCTATCAAAGAAAGATATGAAATTAAATAGCTGACCAATTTAGATGTTATAAATAAATTTACGTTTTTCATATATATATACATATATATATATATATATATATATATATATATATACACACACATATTCTGGGTTTCTCTTGGCAAATTATGTATGTGTATATCTCTATTAAATATTTCTCAAACTTAGTGTCATTTGTTCAGAATTAACAAGTTTTCAATTTATAACTTACTTTCTCAAATGTCTTATACTGTATGTCCAATTTACTCTGCATCATTTCTTCCTCTAATAAGGAAACAAGGGTGCCAGTGGGAGTCTAACTGAGCCTCCAGCACCTTGAAAACATAAATGCTCATAATGATCATTTCTCATCATGTTTCTTGACCCTCTGTTCCACAGACACTACATTTACTAGTATCATCAAATGTTGACTCACTCTAGAAATCATAAAATTTTTGTTCTTAGAAATGCTTGGATTTCTTTTTCAGCTTTATTGAGGCATAACTGACAAACATTGTGTATATTTAAGGTGTACAATGTGTTTATGTATACACACAATGTGAAATGATTACCACAAGCCAGTTCATTAACACATCCATCACCTCACATAGTTACCCTCTTTAATTTTTGTTTTGTTTTGTTTGAGACAGGGTCTCACTCTGTCGCCCATGCTGGAATGCAGTGGTGCCATCTCAGCTTACTGCTGCCTTGACCTCCTGGTCTCAAGGAATCCTTCCACCTCAGCCTCCTAAGTAGTTGGACTTTTCTTTTGTGGTAAGAGTACTCAAGATCTACTCTCTTAGCAAATTTCAAGTTAGCAATACACTATTATTAACTATGCTCATCACGCTATACATTAGAGTTCCAGAACTTATTCATTTTATAACTGAAAATTTGTATCCCCTGACCAACATTTACTCATCTCCCCCACCTCCCAGCCCCTGGAAATCACCATTCTACTCTCTGCTTCTATGAATTTGACTTTTTAAAATTCCACATATAAGGGAGATCATACAGTATTTATATTTAAAGCCTTGAATTTCTTAAAACTGGTGAGAGACTAGAGACAGACTGTTTAAGATGAAATGCCCCTTAGGGGCCATTTATGACCAACCTGCTTATTCAAACAGGAAATCTAAGTTAAATAACTAGTTTTTTAACTTAACAAGCAAATTGTTGAAAGAGAAGGAAAAGAAACATGGAAAAAGCAAAAAGGGAAGTGGGAAGACAGGGACAGAGAGAGGGAGGGAACTGGGAAGGAAGGAAAGGAAGGAAGGATGGAGGGAGGAAGGGAAGAAACCCAATCTTGACATCCAGGTTGTCCCAGGTGCAGAGCAGTATTTGTAAGCCTTCGTTTAGAAGGCTAATTTCTAACTCTGAAAGTTACTTGCACATTCTCCAAACAAGGAGTATGAGTTTAATGCTTCTACCTTTCTAAATTTTTCTATAACTTTCAAAGACCCCATAAGAATATATTTTTAATTTTTAATTTTTGTGGGTATATAATAGGTGTATGTATTTATGGGGTACATGAGATACTTTGATACAGGCATACAATGTGTAATAATCACATCATGGTAAAAACGAGGTATCCATCCCCCTCAAGCATTTATCCTTTGTGTTACAAATAATCCAGTTATACTCATTTAGTTATTTTTAAATATACAATTAAATTATTATTGACTATAGTTACCCTCTGTGCTATCAAGTACTAGGTCTTACTATATTTTCTTTAATGAAGAGTTTGCCAGGTGCTTGCTCCTCAGACTTCTGTCTTTCCTTTTTACCAGTATCCTTGGAAATGTCACTTATTCATAAATACAACCAATACTTAAATTTTTCTATCTAGCATGCCTTGATGATAGATCATCTTGTCCAAATATGGGCTGATTAAACAGGTATTTAGTTGGTATAGACCAGGTGCCCATAACTGAAATAAATACTGCGGGTTCCTTCCCTCACAGACTTTTCCATCTAGGAAAAGCAAAACCAACATTACATTATGATGTAAAACTTAAGATGGATTTTATGGTGCACATGAGTGGGTCTCAAACCTGAGCATCAGTCACGTGGAAGACTTGCTTAAACACAGAGCCTCATCTCCAGAGGTTCTGTCTCTGTAGGTCTGGACTGGGGCCAGATAATTTGCATTTCCAACAAGTTCCCAGGTGATGCCAATGCTACTTGTCTGCAAACCACACTTTCAGAACCACTGGTCTAAACTAAAGAGATGTAGAATTTTGAACCCTTTGAGGGGATGTGAAATCAATTCCACTTTCATGTGACATAATTTATGCTTCTTTGCAAGATTAAGTTTGAAGAAAATGTCCCATTACTAAATTAACTTTTAAGACCACAATTTAAAAAAAAAAAAAAAGACCATTTATTGTCAGCTGTGAAAGCATCTCAGGTATATTTTTACCATTTCTTATTTTCCAAACTTTCCATCATGTACATGTATTACTTTCATGTGAGAAAAATCTTAAATAAAAATATTCATGTCTTCATTGGAATAAGACAAATTTGAACTCGAAGACCAGTTTTGATATTTACCAATCAGTGATCTTGGGCAAATTTCTTTTACTTTTTCAATGTTTTATTTACAAGTAATACCTCTACATATTTCTAAAGTAAAATATTAGAAAAAATCTGTTACAGAAAAGTCTCACTTCTACACCATCCCCAGTCAACCTATCATCTTCAAATGCAAATATTTTTATTCGTTTCTTATTCTTCCTGTGATATTTCATTCTTATACAACTAAAACAAAACATCCTGTTTCTTCTTTTTACCCATATGGCAAACTATATGTGTTGCTTTACACCTTGCATATTTATTTTTATTTATGTATTTATCGAGACAGGGTCTCAATCCTTCACCCAGGCTGGAGTGCAGTGGCACAATGAGGGCTCACTGTGGCCTCAACTTCCTGGGCTCAGCTGATGCTTTCACCTCAGACCCTAGAACAGCTGGGGCTACAGGTGCAGGCCACCACATTGAGCTAATTTTCTGTGTTTTTGGTAGAGACAGATTTTCACCATGTTGCCTAGGTTGGCATTTTTAACTTCACAATAAATTACTCTATGTCAGTATACAGCGATCTCCCTAATATTTTTGTATTCCCCTGTGTGGAAGTGTTTCATTACAGGTGATGTAATGTCTCCCCTATTGATGGACATTCAGATGGTTTCCATTCTTTAACACTTATAATACTGTGTTAAGTTACATTCTACATATGTTACTGTGAACATGTGCAGGAGAATTAGTAGATTCACAGAAGGTGAACTGATAGATTGAAAAAGGTAAATAGCATCATAATTTTAGTAGGTATTGCCAGATTCTCCTTCATAAAGTGTATCATTTTGCATCCCCACCAACAATGTCTAAGAGTGCCTAATTTGAGGCCATTAGAGCTGCTGTAATTGAACCTAAATGTGTTCTTTGGGTAAATATATGAGGACATTTTTAATCAGTTCCCCAGAATGGTTTTAATAATTTACATTACCACCAGCAAACAATGGCAATTTTGATATTACCTGTCTTTAGTGACATAATATTGTGATTTTAATTTGTATTTCTCTATGACTACCTAAATTAAACCTTTTTTTACCTTAATAAAGGTAAATAGCTAATAAGCTATATCATCTTTTGTTCAAGTATTTTTCCATTTTTCAATTGGGTACTCTGATTTTTCTAATTTATTTATTATTTTATTGTATATTATGCATACAAATCTTTTGCTAGATATATGTACTGGAAATATATTATTCCCCTCTGACTTAGGCAAGTCCAATTCATCTACAGTTTTATTGATTTTTGTCTGCTTGTTCAATCACCTATTGAGAGAAATGTGTTAAATTTGCCGCTAGGTGAATCTGTCTATTTACCCAGTTCTATCAATATTTGCTGTATTTATTTTGAAGCTATATTAATAGAAGCATTCTAATTTAAAATGTTATGTTTTCCTGATTAACCTTATTATGATTATATAACATATCTCTTTATTATTCATATTTCTCCCAGCCTTAAAGTTCACTTTACCTAGTAGATGAAGCTTCCTTTTGATTTGTCTTGGCATAATGTTCATTTCTGTTTTCCTATTTGGAACTTTCAGACTTCTTGGGTAAGAATCATATAGTTTTTTTTTACATCGATTTGTTAAAACCATAATCTTTTACTTGAATTAAAAAGGAGCTTTTTAGTGTAATGATTTTACATTTCAGTTTCTATTTCCATCTTAATATTTTCTTTCTAGTTGACCCACCTATTTTATGCAATTTCTCTTTTCTTGCTTTTAGATTAAGCAAATATTTTGTTTTAGTTTTAATGCATTTGCTATATACTCTTTTATTATTACTCTTTTAGTGGTCACCCTAGAGATTAAAATATACTTCTTTGACTTATTATAGTCTGATATAAGTGATTACTTCATTATTTCTCCCCCAAAATGCTAGAATCTTAGATTACTTCAACTTTTGCTTTTTTGTTGTCATGCATTTTAAATGTGTTTTACATTTCACGATATTACTATTAAGTCATTATTCATTATATCAATCCACATTATTATGTACACCCTATTTTCATCTTCTTGCATTTCTCTTTTGCTTGACATTATTTTTTGTGTGCATGAATTTCTCACTGTAGTATTTGTTTGAGAAAGTATGCTTTTATAATTCTTTTTGTTTGTCTGAAAATGTTCTTAGTTCAACTTCATTTTTGAAGGATGTTTCACAGTATGGAATTCTAAATTGGCAGTTTTCTCTTAGTATTTTATAGATGTTGTTCTATAATCTTCTGGCTTCAGTAGTTTCTATTAACCAATAAACTCTCATTCTCTCTGTTACACCTATCTTTTTCTCTGGCTCCTTTTAAGATTTATTTCTTTGTCTTTATTATTGTTTTTAGTGGTGTCTATGTGTGTATGAAGTGCTCCATGGACTTAGGTTTCATGGTTTTTATAATTTTAGAAAATATAGAGCCATTATTTTTCCAAATGTGTTTTTTCTCTATTCTCCTTCGCATTTTTCCTGAGACTCTAATTATACATTTACTGGAACTTTGCTGTCTCTTTTAAGTTTCTTATGCTCTTTTCTGTAATTTCCATTATTGTTGTTTTTCTCTCTGCTTCAGTTTATATATTTTCTACAGACGTTTTCATAGTCCATGAATCCTCTCCTGTGATGTGTGCTGTTCAACTCATCTATTGAGTTCCTTATTTTACATGCAGTATTTTTTAGTTTCCGAATGTCTTTTTATCCCTTTTATAAATTCCAAAGTCTTTACTTTTTCATTATTTTTCTCTAGTTTTGTACCCATTTTATTAAATATTTGTATTGTAATTATTTTTGAAATCCTTCACTTCCATATCTAACTGCCCATGCTTCTATTTCTACGAAGTGGTTAGTTCTTATAGGGCTTTGTGTTTGTTTAGGTGTTTTTTTTGTTTGTTTTTTTAACTTTACTCTTGTTTCTTAGTCATATGGTCTTTCTTGGCATACCTAGTAATTTTTTTCTTGTATGCCAGACAATATGTATAGAAATTTCTAAAGGTTTTGATAATATAATTCTTGTTCACAGGGGTCATTTTTATTTCTCTAGGCTTAATGGGAGCTGGCCTCCTTATTCAATCCAGGACTGAGCTGCTGAGTACACCCCCTTTTTTTCCTTTGTTTTCCATGGCTTTCATCTGATTTTTAAACTTTGCTTTCTCAGTTCCAGGAGACACATGAAAACCCTTTTCTGTTTTTCCAATGTTATAGCTTAGCTCTCATACTTGTGCCTCATGCAACTTAGGAATTTATCAAAGTCTTGAGGGGAAAATCAGCTGTGTGTTTGAATCCCGTTGTCTTAGCCTGTTTTCTGTTACTGTAACAGAATACCTGAGACTAGATAATTTATAAAGAAAATGGGTTTATTTTGGTTCACGGTTCTAGATGCTGGCATATTCAAGACCACGCAACCACATCTGGCCAACTTCAGGTGGGGACCTTGTGCTGTGACATAATATGGCAAAGAAGTGAAGAGGAAGCAGCAACATGCCACAAGGGACAAAGAACAAGAGGCAGTCTCACCTTCTAACAACCTGCTCTCACAGTAACTAGTTCAGTCCCACAAGAGCAAGAACTCATTCATTCCCTCAAGATTTAACCCAGTCTCAAGAGAGCGATTTTAGTTCCTCTTAATAACCTAATCACCTGCTACCTGCCAGCACTGCCACACTGGTGACCAAATCTTCCAACACATAAATTCTGGAAGACAGACTCAAGCAATAGACTCGCCCATACAATTTTCAAATTTGGTCAATCTATTACCAAAAATTCTCAAAAGTTCTGTTATTTTCTTTATCCCCAAGCAGTGGCCTCTGCTAGGCAAAGTCCAGATTCTTCATCCCTTGCCCATGCCCAGAATTAGCAAATATCTCATGACAAAAGAGGCTTTCACAATCAGCTGACCTTTCTATGGTTCTCCCCTCTCAGAAAATCTTGCCCCTTTACACTTTAGTGTTTCAACTGTAACTTGAAGCCCCTAAACAAATGATTTTTATTTGTGGCATATATATCTTTTAGTTTTTCTCAGTGACACAACTGGTCTGCCAAAAACTACTTCATCTTACTCTGAGGAAAAGTACAATTTTAATTGTTAATTTTCTAGAAAGGTTACAATTTCAGCTTATATTTCTCTTTCATTCTGACATTGTTTAATAAAAACTATTTTTGAATGTATAGGTAGGGGGCTTTGAGTTTTATAATTTTGTTACTAATTTCTGGTTTTATTGCACTGTGATCAGAGGGTGATATCTATGCTATTTCTAATTTTTGAAATATAGTCAGGGATTTCTGGTAAATTGTTGTGATTGTTCCATGGACACTTGAACATTATAATTTTATATATATATGTATGTATATGTATATTACTCTTAAACTGAATTGTCCAAGAGTTCTATATCCTTACTGATATTTTGGTACTCTAATCTTAGAAGTATAAGTTTCTATTATTGTATTTATGTACAGCTCTCCTTGCATCCATTACTTCTGCTTTATGAAAGCTGTGGTATAAGAAGAATATTTGCTCACAAACCTCATTTTTTTTTATTATACTTTAAGTTTTAGGGTACATGTGCACAACGTGCAAGTTTGTTACATACGTATACATGTGCCATGTTGGTGTGCTGCACCCATTAACTTGTCATTTACATTAACAAACCTCATATTTTTAATGTGAATTTAATGTTTAGCATTACAAAGTACCATGGTTTCTCTTGCTGAATTTTTTTTTTTGGCTTGACTGACTGGTCTAAGATTAAAATTATAATATCTGCTTCCTTTTGGTAATTACCACTTTTGTTTAGTTTTAGTTTACAGTTAAATATATTCTAAACTTATCCTTAATATTTTTTACTAATATTTTACTAATTATCTTTTGATAAATGAAGCTCATGCACTAATAAGTTTCTCATATAAATACTTATGGGGAATATTTCCTTCATTCTTGCATATTTCAAATTGTTTACTTATAATCCTTATATTTAAAGGACAGCTTGGTGAAATATAAAATCCTTGGTTCATGCTTTTTTGAGTATCTCAGTATTGCTCCACTGTCCTCTAGCATTGAAGGTTGAGCCCATTCTTATTGGTTTTGGTGTTTTGGCCACACTTACATAAAGTTTGGGGTTTACAGTTTGCCTTTTACTCTTAGCTTCCATGGAGATTGAGTTTATAGGTTTTATTTCTCTTCCACTTCTTTTATTTGTAATAAACAGTAGGAAGTAGTAGAAATTGAGTTGTTGCCATGACCCTACCGGAATCCTGGCTAACTTTCTGATCTCTCATCTTCAAATTCCATATTTGTAAAATGTGGACTCCTACTTCAGAAAGTTACCTAAAAATTAGATAAGCTACCTACGTGCACTGCTTGGCACACAAAACTATTTAATGAATGTTAGTTCTGTTTAGCAACCATTAGTTGCTGACAATAGATTTAGGTTTTGAGGCCAAATCTTTTGTCATCTAGACATGATTCCTAAGTCAGGCTCTTCCGGTCACATAAAATAATATTTTTGAAAAAAACCAAAACACAATTTACTTTTTAACATCAAGAATCATATTCAGTGTTCTGGAGGCCTATGCTTACATGCCTACCCAAATTACCTAACAAAACCATGGGGACCCACTAGGTGCCTTTGAATTAGCTTAGTTAGGTTACATCTGGGAAGAAAATCATTAAAAGCTGTTCTATTGATATGCAGATTTTAATAATTAGCAAAAGTCTGTTACTTTAAATAGTGAAAAATTTTTGGTGGAGTTGTATGTTTTATGATTGAGACAGTGGTAATATTATTGAAATAAATTTGAAGAATATGAACATTAGTTTTCTTCAGGAAATGAATGCTCATATTTCTCAAGTTGTTGAAAAACAGATAAATCAATCTATTAGTTTTCTAAATTAAAAATATATTGAAATCTATGATTCGGAGATTACTTGCATTGGCTTTGACAGCTTGGATGCTGTTAAGCACAAGACACTCTCCCTATAGTAAAAGGCAGGTTGAATCACACAGCTCCACATTAACTATGATCAATTGACAGTACATTGCTGGCATCTTTTTTAAAAATTAATAACTTGCTCAAGGAAATGACTACATGAACAATTTTCACAATTTCAACGTTTTGTTTTGAAATAAATTTATTTTTCCCACATGGTAACATCAATTGCTTTCTTCCTTCGATTCCTCTCTCGTCTTTTCTCCTGAGTCCCCTATTGAGGTTGGTGTTTTATTGAGAAGAATACACACAGACACACAGACACACAGACACACACACACACACACAATATGAGTGCATATAACATTTTCTAAAATAGTATTAGTTCTTTCATTTGACTTACACAGGGTGGCTATAAACCCACATTGAAATAAGGCGGCCATTCAACAAATATTTTTGGGAGCCCTCTTTTGAAATTCCCTCAGGATAATTTTAGAAATCCAATATAAAATGCATCTAATTATGTTTTCCTTATGAACCCAATTTGATTCCAAATTGCTTTTGATTGTTTCTAAACATTAAATCTATTCCTGAAGGCTGAAAGTTTAGGACTTCTGTTTTTGTTTGTTTGCTTATTTTTTTGTTCTTATTAACATCAATTTGGATACTTGACAATGTCAGTAATTTGTAGAAGTCCAAAACATCCATATATACACAAACATAGACACATGCACATGTGCATTTATGACATTTCACACAAAATGAGTTCAGAGAAGATGTGTTCCCCATCCCCCTGCCTCTCCTGGATAATGCCATGTAGTAGGGGAACAGCTGAAGACTGAGACTCACTCAGCCAGGGAAATCAGAGGGGTCTGGCTGACATCAAGTTCATAGGCCATGACCATGTTACAGACACGTGACAGTTGGGATTGAAGGCCAGTGTCCAATTCAATAAGAACCTCGAGGAGTGGGTCTGAACCACAGGAGTTAGAGGGTCGTATCAAAATCTCAAGAGAGATTTTCAAACCATACACTAGTTCATTCGATAAGGATTGCAAACCATGATGTTGTAGATTGACATGGAAATTTTTTTTTAAGATAACTGCAAATACTTCTAGCAATAAAAATGCTATTAAATAACACATTTAAAGGATTGGTCAAATAGCAAATTAGTTACAGTCAACAGAGAAAAAATGACCTAGGCCAGGGCTTCCCAAACTTTACTATGCAAACAAATAACCGAGGGATCTTGTTAAAAATGTAGATTGTTATTCACTAGGTCTGAAGTTAGTACTGAAAATCTACATGTCTAGTAAGCCTCCAGGAGTTGCCAATACTACCAGTCTGAACTGCACTTTCAGCTGCAAAAGTTAATATTAGGGAGGTTGATTTTAGGCATCACACCCCAAAAAGAAGAAAGGAAATGAAAAATATAAGAAAATTAGGAGGGTAGATACAGTAATAGTGTAAAAATTGCTACATATATTAACAAAAGAAAAACAAAAACAGAACAATTTGGGATGAGGCAATATTCAAGAGATAATGGTTGAGTATTTGTCAACATTAAAGGAACAAGTTATTCGGTTCTGACTGTGATGACAAGATTCTGGCCTTTGAGTCAATAGGAATGAGATTTTGAAAAGGAAAGAAGAGTACATTTTGCAAAAAGGAGAGATGTGAATTGTTGTGGCCAGAGGATAGGCTGAGATAACTAGTGTTCAAAGATATACACCTTCAATTCTTTTTTCTCCCTTGACAAACAGGCAACTTTGTCCATCAAGATTTGGAATATCTTTTCCTTCCCCTGACCCAATGCTGGATTTCTTACTTGCTTTGACTAATAAAATGTAACATTCTAAAACTTCTCATCTGAAGCCTTTAGAAGACTAGCAGCTTCTGCTTCCTCTCTCTCTTTCTCGGAAGCAAGCCACCAGGTAAGTAATAACCATATCTACCTTGCAGGAGAGAGTGCCATATGAAATGAGACCTTAAGCTACCTTATATGCTTCAGTGCCAGCTGAGCATCCTGCTGAAAGCAGGCTCACAGTCAAGCTTTGGCAAGATAAGCAGAAGAATCACCCAGCTGAGCCCCAGCCAGCCCTCAGAATCATGAGAAATAATAATTTCTTGTTGTTTTAAACCACTGTTGTTTTTTGAGGGGGAGCATGGAAAATTATATTACAATAGATAACTGACACACTACGGAACAAGCCATGATTGTCTTTTAAACTCATGTAAAATTGTGGTGTGGCAGGAAAGCAGATAAAATCAGTGGTGCTATTTAAATTGCATAAACTCCAGTGAACTTTTGATAACTGTTGACTGTTAATTCCACAGAGCGCTAGCATAGAGGTTGCAAACTGGCTGCTGTGTTGCAGAAGATCAGATAGTCAGTAATGGTCTGCTGCATGAATTATAAACAGAGTTTTAAATATTGTGGCAGCCTGTTTCACAGCGTGCTCATGTAGAAGTTACAAACTGGCTGCCAAATGACAACATTCTGATCTCGGGTGTATTTTCTTTCATCCATACAGTGTCCCCTCCCCAAATAGAATTAATTACAACAGTATAATATTGGAAAGCCTCCATATAAAAATCAAATTCCCATCTTCTTTTGGAAAAAATGATCAAAGATGGGTTAGCATTCCTATATGGTAATATTTAGCTGGAGCTGAGGGGGAGCTGTATCCTTGTGGCTAAGCATGTATTCTGTTTGCCACAGCCCCCAGTCCTTGTCTCTTCTCTGAAATATCTACCTCACTCCATGGATATTTGAATTAGTGACCTTTAACACAGACTATGAATCAGAAACAGAAGGTCACCAGGGGAGAGGCAGCTGAGAAACAAAGCTAGCAGAATCCCCGGGTCACCACTCTGAGATGTTTTCTTGACCTGGAAGTGAAGCAGGCATTCTCCTGAGGCAGTGACTCTCACTTTATTTAGGGTTGTATTTTAAGCATTTGCCAGGGGTAAATATATCTGGTGGCTTCTAGGCACACAGAAGCATGGCAGAATGATGCTGCTGGCTTTCAATTAATTACTATTTACATGTAATTTCACAAGGTCAGGCATTTTGTCCTAGTTGGCTGCTATATCTAGGAACTCGATATATATTTGCTTATACAGTGACCATCCACCACTCAGCCCTTTGCCCACATGAGCAGACTTTGATTTTAAATTCACTTTCGGGTTCTGCTGGAGACTTTTGTGGGTTGTCTATTTGAAGCTGCAGGTTTCCCAATTCTGTTCTGTGTCATTGTTGGTATCATTGTTTCTGCTAGAAATTTCCAGAAATTTCTTAATGTTCTGCCTATGAATAATATGCTTTCTAATTTCTCATCACTACAGACTTGATTTGATTTTTACATTCGTTTTCTCATTCCCATGGTGTTTGGGGAAGAAGTGACAAATACATAAGATCAGTCAGTCACTCTGAACGACAAGTCAAGCTGCGGAGTTTTGAGGAAAAATACTGTAAATTTTATGCCTAGAAAAATTCTCATATTTGAAGACTACATACAATTATTCTAATATGTACAAGACCTTAGAGAATACACTATCCAGAAATATTCTTACAGATATTTGAAATTTTACTGAAACAAATGAAGAGATCAGAAATCAGGCTGGCTTTCTCCACAGGCAGTGGTTCTCACCCTCAATTCAGAATCCAGAATTTCAGAATGAAAAGACAAGATATTAGAGTTTACAAGAATTAAAATAAAATTAAAGACAGATGCTTATATAACCATTGTAAATATAATTACAAAACAAGATAAAAGTCAAAAATTATTCTTGAAAGGCAAAAAGTGTAATATAAAATTCAAACGATAATTTAAAAAATTTGAGCCTAAAATATCTTTTCTTAATAAATATTAGAATGTAGAGGAAATTAGAATGTAGAGGAAATCAGAATGCAGAGGGACAAAAGAAATATGCTGTTTTTTTCTTTTTACAGATGTAAGTGCCAACAGTATTTTATTTTTTATTTTTTGAGACAAGGTCTCACTTTGTAGCCTAGGCTGGAGTGCAGGTGAAAATGTCTCTCACTGCAGTCTCCACCCTCTGGGCTCAAGTGATCCTCCCAACTCAGCCTGGGTACTACAGGTACACTCTGCCATGCCTGGAAAATTTTCTTCTGTTTTCTTTTTCTTTTTTATTCTTTTTTTTTTTTTTTTTTTCCTGTGGAGATGGGTCTCACCATGTTGCCGAAGCTGGGCTCGAACTCCTGGTTTTGAAAAGATCCTTCCCCCTCAGCCTCTGGGACTACAGGTGTGAACCACCATACCTGGCCATATTTTATTTTTAATGTTAAAACTGAGAGATAAACATTAAATATTGCTAAAAATATTTAATGAAAACTAAAAACAGATCTACAACTTCCAAGTCAGCAGAGAAAAAACACTCTCCAAAACAATAAAAGGAACAAAGAGAATGTGACAGATATATTAAAAGACAATTTATAAAGCAATGAAAGTTGTGTGCTATTAAAATCATCCTAAATGAAAGCAGAATACAACTGACATATACATATCATATATGTACACATACTATATATACTATGTATGCACAACTATATATGTATGTGTGCATACATAATTTGATTCCGATTTTGATTTTTAAAATACCTGAAAATAACTGGAAGTAAACACACCAAAACACTATCAACAGAGTATTATGTGTAATTTTAATTTGACTTTGCTTTTCCTATATTATATTTTATATCATTAACTTGAATTGCTTTCAAAATAAGGAAAAAATTCTTTTCTTTAGAGCATATAGAAGCCAAGCAATTTGCTGAAGACTAATTTTGAAAACAAAAAATGTCGAGCTTTGGAAAAGCTATGGTAAACAAAGCAACTGAGTAGTAGTAAAAGAAAGTAAAGAAAAAATAATCTTAAGACTCAGATCACAAAGAATGTGGAATCTTCAGCAAAGAACTAAAAGCTTGTGTCCCCTTCCCCCAAATTTATGTGTTGCAATTCTAACCACCAATGTGATAGAATTAGGACACGGGGCCTTTGGAAGGTAATTAAGCCATAGGGTAGAGCCTTCATGAATGGGATTGGTGCCCTTATAAAGGGACCCCAGAGAGCTCTATCCCTGTCTTTCTGCCATGTGAGGATATAGCAGAAGTCAGCAATCTGCAGCCTGAAAGAGGGCCCTCACCATGCTGGCACCCTGATCTTGGACTTCAACATCCCGAAGTGGGAGAAATAAGTGTTTATTTTTCAAGCCACTCAGTCTGGGCAGTTTGTTAGAGCAACCTTAACAGACCAAGACACAAACAAACAAAAATAGTAGAAACAAGGACTACTGAGGATGCAGGGTGTTATGTCTGGGCCAGATTTTGGGATTCATCTTACCTAGAGAACTCCAAGCCCATGAAGACAATGCGGCATTCCATGATCATGGCATGATAGTGGTGAATGGGCAGTCAAGTGGATGCAGAGATTGTTTTTCAACATTACTGAATCATGACAGAGTCTGCCATCCTAAATCTTGGCTAAGATTCCTTTACATCACGAGAAAAATATGCAGAAAAATCCAACCTTATCCTAGGTTTGTCACTTGATGTGATCTGTAATTGGAATAGAAAGCCTTCCTTATAATTATTCTTGGTATTGATCCACTGGACATGAGACTGAGCACGATCTTGCTTTTCCAATAAGATGATACCCTCATTGTCGATCCAGGCCTCTTTCTACTGACCCACACACCTGCTGAGCTTCTGCCTGTGTTGACCTTTTGTGTGACCTAAATTCAACTGGTGTCCAGTGATTCCACTTTTTAGCTATCACAATCTAGCCAACCCGAAAAGTAAAACACTTTATAGAATGAAGTTGAATCATGGGAACACAAATAAAATATATATTTTTTAAATGTTTAGAAAACTGACTTTCAGTGTCTGGGGAATTCATGTTTGCTGCTAGTAGAACCATCAGTATTTATTGGTTCCTTAATAGTTTTAAAGGAATATTTGCCAAGACCTTCATGAACCCTCAAATCTGTGAATACATTTGTAGCAGATAATATCTGCAAAACATTGTGATAAACTAGAACATATGATTTTTTTGTGCTTTTAGAGCCTTAAAATTTCTATTAGTATGTGACTAAAATAATACATAAACTGAGTAACTCATCCCATACATCAGTTTTGCAGTAAGTTTAATTCAAATTTGCATGCCCCCACCTTCAAATTATAGGTTAGTATGTGTCATGAAACCTTAGGGTCACCTGGGAACAGTTAAAGACTCAACGTGAAATCTATAATCACCAAAATTTTACTTTATGTAATACACATTTTATTATAAAAATCATAGATTAAACTATTTAATAACAGCAAGCAATGTTTATTATTACTTCATACAGGAGACTGTGTCAAGTATTTTACATGTACTAATTGTATATTCCTCTCAACACCTGGTGTTGAAAATATCATCCCTTAGTTTACAGATCAGGAAAATAAAATACAGAAAGACTTCCCCAGAGCCAGAGAGTCACCTGCTTGGAAACAGCGGGCAAGGATTAAAAGCGAACTTCTTGGAATCTGACGGCTGTGCCTTCAACCACAGGCTGCTGTATTTATTTTCTAGGGTTGCTGTAACAAAATATCAAGACTTGGGTGGCTTAAAACAAAAGAAACTTATTGCCTGACAATTCTGGAGGCCAGAAATCTGAAATCAAAGTGTTGGCAGCACCATGTCTTTTCTCACCTCTTTTAGCTTCTGGTGTTTGCAGGTAATACTTGGAGTCCCTTGAGATGTAAAAGCATCATTCCAGTAGTGTGGCCCTCTTCTCCCTGTATCTCCACATCACCTTCCCTCTGTGCTGTCTCTGCCTCCAAATTTTCCCTTTTTTTAAGGGCACCAGTTATATTGGATTGTGGTTCAACATAATGATCTCATTTTAACTTGATTACCTCTGTAAAGATCATATGTTCTAAATAAGGTTATATTTGAAGCTACTGGGATTTGGGCTTCAACATATTGCTGAGGGAGGGAGAAATACAGTTCAATCTGTAAAACCTGCCCTTTAATAAATATGCTGTTTCCTCTTTAAAATATCCAAAACTATGTTGACATGAGAAACATTGTCAGAAACATTTGGAAAATATAATATCCAAAAATACTTTTTAAATCAGAGTTAAGGTGTATATGTAAATCTACTTAAGGATGAGAGCTCTTTAGCTAACAAAAGGAGGAAGGAGGAAGGAGGAAAGGAATGTTGACACTACTCCTGATTCTTAGCTTGCTCTTTCACATTCACTTCGGATTCTAGGAGCTGAGATCTGCAAAACTACCATGACTAGATTGTCAGAAAGCTCTCTTCTCCTAAATTAAATCTTCAGTGGGGACGGTTTCTCATTAACAACCACACGAATTGAATTATCTCATTGCCCAAAATAGTTTGTGCCAGAATTTAATAGGGGAAACCCATCAATGTGTTTCTCATTAAAGTAAATGGATCCACATGATTAATTCCAAATTTGCTTAATATTCCCTACTAATGGGTGAATGAGGCATCATGAGATACTCCTTACTACCTGGCAGGTTTTATTTATACCAAACAGATGTTACTGCAGTGCCTTGACACTGGAAAATAAAACACTTGTTCTCATAAAAATGCTGGGGGCAAATAAACCTAATTTATTTGCTGAACATTTTGGGTAAAACTTTATAATATACTATTCTAAAGGTTTTTTGGGTTATACGTAGTATACTATACCAAGAATTATAACAAAATTGCAAGAGAAATGATTGTTGCATTTGGAAGCTTTGTGTGTGTGTGTGTGTGTACTTTAAGTTCTGGGATACATGTGCAGAACATGCAGGTTTGTTACATAGGTATACATGTGCCATGGTGGTTTGCTGCACCTATCAACTCTTCATGTAGGTTTTAAGCCCTGCATGCATTAGGTATTTGTCCTAATGCTCTCCCTCCCTTTGCCCACCAGCCCCTGACAGGCCCCAGTGTATGATGTTCCCCTCCCTGTGTTCTCATTGTTCAACTCCTACTTATGAATGAGAACATGCAGCACTTGGTTTTCTATTCCTGTGTTAGTTTGCTGAGAATGATGGTTTCCAGCTTCTTCCATGTCCCTGCAAAGGACATGAACTCATTCTTTTTTGTGGCTGCATTACAATATTAATCAAAACATACATGTTTTCATTCAGAACACTGTCTCATCCTGATATTTCTTAAAAAACAAGAAGTCACCCACAATCTTAAAAGGACCAAGTAGACTGGAAGTTCATTCTCTATTCCTAGAACATTTGCACAATGAAATGATTTGCATTTCAAAGGGGAACTGCAAGATTTTACAGAAATGCACACACTGATCAAATGTTAAGTTAAAATGATTCCTAATACAGTCAAACATTGAGGTGGGGGAAAAGGTGCTTCTTAGTGTACAAAACACTGGAAAAGGGGGCCCAGTCATTTCCACGGAGGGATTCACAAAGCTTTTGGCACACTAAAGCTCTGAAAAACTCTGCAGTGAAGAAATCAGTTCTCTATCTCTCTTTCTCTCTACCCCAATCCTTTTAATTCTAGTGTTTTTGAAAATCATTTCTCTAAAGAACTAAATATTCTTTCTTACTGATATCTCATATCCTATAAAAAGGCAGGACTTTTTCATTTTTAAATAGCTTTTAAAATGCATTTC
This sequence comes from Homo sapiens, assembly GCF_000001405.40. NCBI lineage: Eukaryota > Metazoa > Chordata > Mammalia > Primates > Hominidae > Homo > Homo sapiens. Next base: position 53,716,882 of record NC_000018.10, read on the forward strand.
AGTACAAGAATAAGTTAAACGTGCCCTTCGCCCCACTTCTGTTTGTCTGAATTGGGGCATTAGGTGACTTCCTATTTGTTATACACTGCATTAGGATAGGAAAAAAATCTTCCACTATAAGTTATACATTGACTAAATCCAGTAATGCCAGCACAAACTTTCCTAGATATTTCCATTTTAGTCTTTTATCTCCCAATAGCTTATCTATTGTTTTAGCAACTTCGAGCATTATCAGCAGGAAAATAAGATTTAATGTGCTTTCCTGAAAGGAAGAAATCCAGCGAGACAAGAAAGACAGGAGGAATACAATGTAGACTTCTCCTCCTCCGTCCATGCTTGCTTTGGAAAATTCAGGTCTTGGTGTGCTCTTAACTCTGCTGCAATCACACTCCTCTCCAGCATCCTCCCTAACACACACCCTCACTATTTCACCTGGCTAATTTCCATTTGTACTTCACATCTCAGGGGAAATATTATTTCCTCGAGGTACCATCCTTAAACCCAGAAGCCTTAGATCTCCTTCTCTCAAATTTGTTCTCATAGCACAAATATATTTCCCCCATTTTGACACTAATCACATTTAGTTATTCTTTTAAGTCTCTTTCTCTCCCTTGTCACCTGATTTTAAGAGTGGGAACAATATTTAAGTCACTGCTCATCCCAAATATTTATCACAGTTGACTCTTGAACAACATGGTTTTGAACTGGACAGATCCACTTATACACAGATTTTCTTTCAGCTCTCCTTCCCCTGATCCAGCAAGACCAACCCCTTCTTCTCCTCAGCTCAATGAGAAGATAACAAGGATGAAGGCCTTTTGATAATCCTATTCTACTTAATGAAAAGTGAATACATTTTCTCTGCCTTAGGATTTTCTTAATAACATCTTCTTTTCTCTAGCTTACCTCATTATAAGACTACAGTATACATAGTGTGTATAACATACAGAATATGTGTTAATCTTCAGTTGACGTTATCAGTAAGGCTTTTGGTCAACAGTGGGCTATTAGTAGTTAAATTTTTGGGGAGTCAAAAGTTACATATGGATTTCCAATTGCATGGGTGTCAGTGCCCTTAATCTTTGCATCATCTAAGGGTCAACAGCACTTGGCAAACAAAATGTGCCCAGAAAATATCTCTCAAATATGGTTGTTTCTGAAATTCCACTATAGGTATAGCTGGCTCTAGAATCAAATCTGAGAAATAGGTCAGAGTTGTCAATGAGGATGGCTTGAGATGGCCCCTTCCTCTCCTTACATCACTCTCCCCTCACCCTAATTTTTCTCTTTTGCTCCCTCTACTTCCTTGTCTAGAGCAGGTATTGCTTGCATCTCTCCTTCAGGGCTGGATCCATCTTTCCTTCCTCTGCCAGTCATTTCCAGAGTTGTAGCCTCTGCTAACAGGTGATTGCTTTTAACCCTCTTGGCAACTGGAACTCCACAGGAAAGGTAGCATACAGGATAATTGCTCAAAAATCCCACAGGTGAGAAAAGGATTCAGGAAATGAGAACTATACAGGAGAATTGGAGAAATGCTGAGCAAGAGGGCTCTAGGTAGAGAAAATTAAGGTGAGGTCCTTTACTTTTTAACATATGTGTTCGGGGATGGATCCCAAAGATTATTATAAATGGTACATCAAGTCAGAGAGAACACTCAACGTTACCAAAAATAAATATATTAGAGAAATAACGTTGTAAAATAATAAAAAAAATCAAAATTAGGTTTGTCCATGTCAAAGTAATATTATACTATTTGCAAGAGTCCTATACTAATTGCAATAATATGTATTCTTAATTACCATGCAGGTAATTTTGAATACTAATTTTAACATGGAGGGACATAAATTATGTTGACATGAACAATTTAGCAGTTCTGACTACACAGCGTTGCTAGTTATTTTTAAGGCAAACACAGAAGGTACTTATAAAAGGGAAGGGAAGGAGAGAGTGTATAACTTAATTTACACAGATTAAGAGTTCAGATATGTGGAAAATTTAGACAGCAAATTGAAAAAGAAGGAAAAAGAATAATTCAGTGCATGACAGGTGAAAATGTGAGTATTACATAGATAACAAATTCAATTAATAGTTAAGAGGGTGGGCAAAGTATTGATAGAAACATTCTACAGAAATTTTAAAATGTGGATGCACAGATACAAAGATGGGAAACATAATTATCAAACCAAGTCTATAGTAAACTATTTTTATTTCCTGTTTAATAGACAAAAAAGGATAATTGATGGGGTTGAATTGCTAAGCAGCACACATTACAGCTTTCTCAGGATACCAAAAGATATTATTATAAAAGATAAAGTTTCCTGAACTTTCTACTTACAATTTCAAAGAAAGCTGCAGCTTCATAAATAGTAACTTCTTCCCCTCTAACACTCACCGTGTGCTCTGCTGAAGATTACTCCAAATCATCATAGCAAATCCATCTGTTTGGAGAAATATTCCTTGATATCACAGAAACATTTCCCTTTCTACATGTTGAGGATCTTAAAATTAGAATCTGCCACCAGATTGACTTTAAAATTCTTACAGTTCTAGGTGATCCCTAGAGAAGCATATAACACCTACACAATGGCAAAATCTAATGATATTAGTAAGTTTAAATTTTGACATAGATACTGCTAGCAAATGTTTCTAAGTAGCGAACTTTGTTAATTTCTAGCAAAGCTTTTGTGACAAGAATAGGTTCTTTTAAAAAAATTTCTTGAATAAATTTGAACAGGAAGCAAAATGGAAGAGAACAAAACCTCAGTTTATTTAGATATGAGTCCTTATTTTAGCAAGTATTTAATCAGAAAGGGAATATGTCATTTAAAACTATGAATTACCCTGCTTAATCTTTGACTATGCTAAAATGAAGTTGTTTTTTAACTTTCAAATCCCTAGAAATAGGAAACAAAAAAGATTTGTATGAGAAGATCCTGATTATGTTTTTGTATTATGGATATTTTAAGTATTATTTTTAAGTTTTACAAATAGCTGAAATAATCAGTTTTTCTCTTCTTTCCCATTTTATGTTTTTCTTTTATTTCTTTTGAAGATGTGAAACTAATTCATTAGATGAGACTCTGGGTTTTGTTAGTTACAATTTTCTTCTCTGGAAAACTCATGAAGCTGAAATTAATTCTAGCCAGTCATTCTTCAAAATAAAAAGTGAGTCTCCCAAAACACGTCCTAGAGCAGAGAATGTTCAATCATGGCCGCTACACATTAGAGTAACCTGCGAAGCTTTAAAAAGCTATGGATGCCAGATGCCCTTCCTCAGATTCTCATCTCAGGAGTATGGGTATATTTTAAAAGTACACTTTAAAAGTAGTTAGGATTGATAATCACCACCCTGGACCAGTTGTTTTCAAACTCAGGAAGGAAGGATGAGAAGGTAGACACTGAGAGTTTTTAAAGAATCATTTTCCAGATGGACAATATCCAAATGTACTCTTTTCTAAAACTGATATGCCTGAGATTATGGTTGGGATGATGGCATCGTGGTGGATTTCCTTTCCTATTTCTTACACAATCACACTTCAAAAGGTTCCTCTCACACATGCCCAGAATCTTTCAACTCAGATGCATTGTCCTGAGGCATATAACCTCTGGAGCAGCAAACAAATAGAACATTTGAAATACTGGTAACAGGAGAAGCCTTTTTAAATCCAAGAATGATTAATCATCCCAACCCAACTCATTAAGAGATATGTTTACTTATTAAGTTTAGATAATTATTTATCAAAATTTGAAAGATGTGTATACTTATTGGATCAACTGTGCATTTATTGGTTACTACTTGTAATTATAGAAATACCTCATTTGAGAAAGAAAAACTAACACTTAGAGGCTTATGTAGCAGTAATATTAATAGACACCTATATTTCTATTCATATTCACATTTGAGTTGCAGAGAAATGAGTTATGGTGATAAGTAGAAGATCTCCTAGCACAAATATACTTTACATAATGACAAAATTATGTCGGGGTAATGGAACAAAAATACAATTTGGAGAGAAATTAAAAAATGCATATTTCATATTGTTGAAGAATGGTTTGTTGAGATTTGAGTTTTAACTTACATATAATAAAATTTACATATTTTAAGTATGCAGCTTGAGAACTTTAGTAATTGTGTACAGCAATGTATCTTCCACTAAAATTAATATAGAGAACAGTTCCATCCTCCCACCCTCTGCAGTCAATCTCCTTGCCTGATCCCTAGGAACAGATTGGTCTGCTTTAGCTCACTACAATTTTGCAGTTTCTTGGATCTCACATAGATGGATTCATACAGTAGGTAAGAGCATAACGTTTTCCTTTTTAACTTAGCATGATGCTTTTGGATTCAGCCATATTATAGTGTTCCTTTGAGTAATATGCCACTGTGCCTTTGTATATTCCCCAATTGATGAATTTGACTTGTTTCCTGTTCTAGATATAATGAATAATGCTACAATGAGGATTTGTGTTCAAATCATTGTGAGAATGTATGCCTTAATGTCCCTTACGTAGGAACCTACAAGTAGTATTGCTAGGTCATACACTAAATATATGTTTAGCTTTATAAGATAGTGCCATATTGTTTTCCAAAGTGGTTTTATCATTTTGAATTCCCACCAGAAACTGATGAGAGTTCCAGTTGCTTCATATTCTCACCAGTATTTGGCACTGACAGTCTTTTTGACTTTAACCATTCTAATAGACATGTAGTGGTATCTCATTTTGGTCTTAATTTGCATTTCCTTGATGACTAATGATGCTAAGTATCTTCTCTTGGGCTTATTGAAAACTCATGTATTGAGTTTTATGAAGAGCCTGTTCAAATTCTTTTGCCCACTGGCATTTTACCTTGGTTTGTATTTGCATTATTAGAATTCCCCATATACTCTGAATACAAGCCCATTATCAGGTATGTTTGGCAAATATTTTTTCCAAGGTGTGGCTGGCCTTTTTTCCTAGCCATGAATTTTGAAGAGCAAAGTTTTAATTTTGACAAAATCTGTTTTACTAATTATTCTTTTATGGTTCATGATTTTTACATCTTATTTAAGGAATCTCTCTCCCTGACTCAATGTCACAAAGATGGTCTCCTATGATTTCTTCAAGATTTATCATTTTAGTTCTTAGGTAAGACCTATGGTCAATTTACAGAGTCCTTAAATGGTTGTTTTCAACAACTTTTTTTGAGTTTTGTCATTGTTTTGGGAGAAAAGGACTTTTTACATCCTTATTCCACTAATCTCAAAATCCAGCCCCCAAATAGTCTAATTTTAAAATATTATCTTCTATTTGCCTGCATTGTATTTTTACAATTACTTAAGTCTGTGGTAAAAATTTTTAGGTGTCAGTAAGTACATATAGAGTTTTAAAATATTGTTTTAGGAGGTACATGAGCAAAATTGAAGATCTCCTGTAGATCATCATTTATCTCTGGTTCCTATGATAGGCATAGGCACTACGTGGCAGTGCAGAGCCTTTGGTTGGTTGGGTTTCTGTTGTTTCTTTCTCTGGGTCATTATGATCTGCTGAAACTCTCCTAAAAGGAAGTTTATGATAAACAAGTGCAAGAAAATGTAAATTGGCTGAACTGAAAAGCTGTGATACAAAAACTTCCTTGTGATATAACATGAGAACTGCATGTCTAGGCTCATACGATTATAAAACCCTTCCATGAAACAATATGTGAAACCCTATGTAAGTAGACTAGAATGACAAAATCACAGGGCTTAGGGTCATCCAGACACAGCCTTGGTTTGTGGCTATATTCTTTTTATAAGCAACTTAAAGGTCATCTGGATTTATTATTCAAAGAATACTGCCCATTCAAAAATTCTTCCTTATATTGGACTAAAAAACATGTCTGCCTCTAAGTTTCCATCCATGAGCTCAAGTCTTAATTTCTTTCTTTTTTTTTGAGATGGAGTCTCACTTGTTGCCCAGGCTGCAGTGCAGTGGCGTGATCTTGGCTCAATGCAACCTCTGCATCCCAGTTCAAGTGATTCTCCTGCTTCAGCCTCCCAAGTAGCTGAGATTACAGGCACATGCCACCATGCCCAGCTAACTTTTGTATTTTTAGTAGAGACAGGGTTTCACCATGTTGGCCAGGCTGGTCTCGAACTCCTGACCTCAAGTGATCTGCCTGCCTCGGCCTGCCAAATTGTTTGGATTACAGGCATGAGCCACCATGCCCAGCAAGTCTTAATTTCTATGTGCACAAAAACAAGTTCAGTCTCTTCTTTATTTAGCATCCTTCTAATGTTTTACTATGGCTGTCATATCTCCTTTTCTCAGGCTCAGACATGCCCTGGTCTTTCAATTGTTTATTGTGCAACACGGTTTCAAGAAATATTATCACCAATTGATCTCTTCCAGAAAAGTCTAATTTGGATCTAATTCAATCTTCATATTGAGTCCCCACACTGGCTCTATCAAGTACCAATATATTCCCTTTTGATCCTGGCCCCCTGATTCCTCGATTTGTCCCATATGTCACATCAGAGTTACCTCATGAAGCAGATTAACAAGCTTCATGTGGATCTCTACCTCATTAGCTATGATAATGGCTGTTTAATATACACCTAGGAAAGCTATAAAATTTAACAGAGATCAAAGCAAATTCCCTCTCCTGGGTTCACAACTTTTAACCATAAACATACAAAATGAGGAGAACTAGCTTAACAAAACACATGATAGGACAAGGTCTATAGTTCATTTACATGCCATATGATGAGTTCAGAAACTAGCATTTATCTAGCACCAACAATACCCAAAACACTGTATTTCATGCCTTGCTTTCTATAATCCTTATAGAAAGGTATTACTTTTTCCATATTACATATAAAAACTTGTGGAATCATTCTGGTTTCAGCTCTAACATGTAATGAGCATGGATATCATCACATCCATCATTACGATAATAAAATAGCTGAACACATTGAAAATCAATGACTTCTCTTAGACCCATCAGAGAATTGAGGTCTTGGGGAAAACCACCATCCTAAAACTGAAGAGATGGGTGAATACAGAAATTCAGAGATTCATATCTAAGATCAGCTTATGTGGAGCCATCAACTGACAGAAACATTTAAGGGATAACTTTGACAAATTGCTGAGGGCAGAGTGTGGGTTGTCTGGAAAGTGAGAAACTCCTGGGGATAGGGGTGGTTGCAGTCTTAGTATGTTTTATTTTCGGGAACCTCACCAGGTTTTCATGTATTGGATGCTATATTTTCAAGATGATTTATATAAGAAAATGAATCAATGAGAACTAGACAAGCTCTATGAATTTATAACACCCAACAATGCAACTGTTAGTTGTGCCAAAGACTTATGGCCTTGTTTCAAGAACGCATCAGTGTCACCATAATTCTAGGATATCCAAGAACTCTAAGTAGCTATATGGGAGCCATGAGCTCAGGTTCCTACTCTTTCAGGCCTGCTACCCTCTTTCTGAACCTTGTAAAACAATGTCAATGCTTTGGAAAGTCAAGAAAAATAAGGCATTTCTAAGGGCTTTGAATTCATTTTGACAAACCACCCAAAACTTGTGGTTCTATCATGTGAATATTTAAAATCTATAACCTTAGCACTATGACCCCTTTTATTCTAGAGTTCTCAGAATATAACAAAACTCTCTCTAGACCTGACCTGGGAGATGTTCGAGATAAGACAGCTAGTGAAGAATCCCATGTTGTTGGAGAATGATGCAGGCTGGGTGGGCACCTCTGGAGGCTTGAGGAAAGAAAATAAGTTATTTGAAAAATTTTAAGAAAATTTAATAAACATTCAACTAGTTGATTCAGATTGGGATTGATTTTTCTTTCTTTTTTTTTTTCCTTTGAATTTTGGTTCTTTTTTGTATGGTTAACTTGTGTAATTTCTATTAAAGATTGTTTGGGAGCAGTAGTCTCATTATCTCCTTATTTTCCAGCTTAAAGGTTGATCATATTCTAGTGTTAAGCCTTCATTTTGCTGTATTTTCTATATTCCCCTATCTTTTAAATGCTCTCCTTTAAATCTCTAGTTTCTTTGTCTTAGAGTAGTGAATTTTCCCCTAGTAGATAGGTAGGATATATGTCATTCTGTCTACATCGTCTACTAATAAAGGAGATAGGATAAGAACTGTAAGGCCAAGCTGCGTAGCTAACAGTAACTAGATAATGAAAGTTCTCAAAGAGAGAACAAGAAGAGTATATGCTAATCAAACATCTCACTGAAGAAACAAAGCCTCCAGTGATCAGCTGATTCTTTCCATCTTTCCAGGTATTGTGTCTTTTAATCTCTATCAAGTGAAATAGGTTGTTATTTGGGAGAGAACCAAAATTAGAAAGGGATTGTCTAGTGAGGGTAGGTTCCTTTTTCTTTTTCTATTTTTCATGTAAGCATTATTTTTAATGTCTTCACATGGCTACTATATGAATAGTAACAATACTGGATTTAGACAGATGGAATTACCACATCAGGGCTCTAAATAAATTAAATGGGCAAATTAAATAGTTTTACTTATTAAAAAATACAGAAGAAGGTCAGTGCAGTCAGAACACATGGCAGAGATATGTAGGCATTTTAGCTTCCAGGAATGGCAGGCATACAGACCCCAAATTTTCACTGGAAATGCACAGCTGTAGATGTTAGCATCTGAGTGAATAAGGTCCATGACAGGTTTTCTGGTGCCCAGCCATTTTCTATAAGGCCAGATCCATAATACACATAGGCTAGTCAGGATTTCAGCCAAGGATTAGCCCATTTGAGATGGTGTACCTCATCAATCTTGGAATTATGCAGTCAATACATGAATGGATTACAGAGCACAGTACATTTCACTCAGCATAATCACAGTTCACATTTATCACCTTCAGCTTTATTAGGCCAACACAGTTGACTATAAGTACATCTCTCAGCACTGTACAGGGGAAGAAGAACAAAGGCCAATCACCTATGCATTTCAGACTGTCCTGCCACCAGTCCTGACTGTAGTTCCCAAGGCCTATGCTGAATTTTGAGTTGTTTGTTCTTTTTTACCAAGTGGCAAATGTTTATACTTTTATTTCCATGATATGCCCACAGGCAAGATGAAACTAATATATTCCCTGAAGATTCTGAGTCAAACCAGACTTTGTCCTCCTGAATGTCACCCTAGAAACCCACAGAAGCATGCTGTGGATCCTGAAAAATGGATCCTGGTCCTCCTAAAACTCCATTAAACATTCAAAAGAGAACTAATACTCTTGGGAACCCTAGGAAAGCTGGCACAAACACATTTAGGGCTACACACAGTCACTGAACGTATGTGTTTTCCACCAGAAAGCCATGCTCAACAAAACCCTAAACACACCTGGCAAAGAGTATTTCTCCTATTCGTGCCCAAGAAAATATATCTACATTTATATCTACATCTACATTTCCATATCTACATCTATATGTATATAGCTACCTTACAGGAAGTCATATACACAGACTTACATATAACATATATGTGTTATACGATAGCTGTAATACTATGTTACTTATGTGTGTTACATATGTATGTTATACTTTTCATCATGATACCTAGGTGTATTAGTCTGTTCTCACAATGCTATAAATAACTACCTGAGACTGGGTAATTTATAAAAAAACCGGTTTAATTGACTCACAGTTCCACAGACTGTACAGGAAGCATGGCTGGGGAGGCCTCAGGAAACTTAAAATCATGGTGGCAGATAAAGGGGAAGCAGACATGTCTTCCATGGCCAGAGAAAGAGAGAGAGAGAGAGAGAGAAGGGGGAGGTGCTACCACTTTTAAACCACCAGATCTCCTGAGAACTCACTCACTATCATGAGAACAGCAAGAGGGAAATCTACTGCCATATTACAATCACTTCCCACCAGGTCCCTCCTCCAACATTGGGGATTATAATTCAACATGAGATTTGAGTGGGAACACAAATCCAAACCATACCATTCCATCCTTGGCTCCTCCCAAATCTCATGTCCTTCTCACATTGCAAAATACAATTAATCCTTCTCAACAGTTCCCCAAAGTCATTTCAGCATTAACTCAAAAGTCCACAGTTCAAAGTCTCATCTAAGACAAGGCAAATCCCTTCCTATGACCCTGTAAAATAAAAAATGAGTTAGTTACTTCCAAGATACAATGAGAATACAAGCCCCATGCAAGTCCAAAACCCAGTAGAGCAGTCATTAAATCTTAAAGCTCCAAGACAATCCCCTTTGACTCCCTGTCTCACATCCAGGCCACACTGATGCAAAGGGTGGGCTCCCAAGGCCTTGTGCAGCTCTGTCACTGTGGTTCCAAAAGGCTCAGCTCCCATGGCTGCTCTCAAGGGCTGGTGTTGAGTGCCTGTGGCTTTCCAGGTGTATGGTGCAAGCTGTTGGTGGAGCTACCATTCTGGGGTCTGGAGGATCATGTCCCTCTTTTCACAGCTCCACTAGGCAGTGCCCCAGTGAGGACTCTGTTTGGGGGCTCCAACCCCACATTTCCCCTCCACATTGACCAAGTAGAGGTTCTCCACGAGGCCTCTGTCCCTGCAGCAGACTTCAGCTTGAACATCCAGCCATTTCCATACATCCTCTGAAATCTAGGTGGAGGCTCCCCAGGCTCAACTCTTGCCTGTTGTGCACCCATAGGCTTAATACCACACGGAAGCTGCCAAGGCTTATGGCTTGGACCCTCTGAAGCAGCAGCCTGAGAGATATATGGGACCCTTTTTAGCCACGGCTGGATCTGGAGCAGCTAGGACACACAGAACAGTGTCTCAAGGTTGCGCAGGGCAGCCAGGCCCTGGACCCAGTCCATTAAACCATTCTTCCCTCCTAAGCCTGTGATGGGAGGGACTACAATGAAGGTCTTTTCTATTAACATTCAGCTCCTCTTTACTTACGCAAATTTCTGAAGCCAGTTTTAATTCCTCCACCAGAAAATAGGTTTTTCTTTTCTACCACATGGTCAGGCCACAAATTTTCCAAACTTTTGTGCTCTGCTTCCCTTTTAAATTTAAGTTTGCATTCCAGTTTCAGATCATCTCGTTACTTGCACATATGAGATACACAGTTAGAAGCAGCCAGGCCACATCTTGAGCATTTGGCTGCTTAGAAATGCCTTCCCCCAGATACTCTAAATCATCTCTCTCAGGTTCAAAGTTCCCAATAAGTTCCTCATCTCCATCTAAGACCTCATCAGCCTGCATCTCTGTCCATATCACTATCAGTATTTTGGTCAAAACCATTCAACAAGTCTCTAGGAAGTTCCAAACTTTTCCATCTTGTCTCCTTCTGATCCCTCCGAACTGTTCCAACCTCTGCCTGTTTACCCAGTTCCAAAGCTGCTTCCAAATTTTCGGTATCCTTATAGCAATATAAAGATACTTCTGCTACCAATTTTCCATATTACTCCATTCTCATATTGCTATAAAAAAAGAAAAGGTTTAACTGGCTCACTGTTCCACAGGCTGTACAGTAAACATGGCTGGGAAGCCCTCAAGAAATTTATGATCATAACAGATGGCAAAGGGGAAGCAGGTACACCTTACATTGCTGAAGAAGAAGGAAGAGGGAGAAGGGGGAGTTACTACACACTTTTATTTATTATTTCTTTTTGTGATGAAGTCTCACTCTTTTCCTCAAGGCTGGAGTGCCATGGAACGATCTTGGCTCACTGTGAACTTCACCTCCCAGGCTCAAGTGACTCTCCTGCCTAAGCCTCCTGGGTAGCTGGGACTACAGGTATGAGCCATCATGCCTGGCTAATTCTTGTATTTTTAGTAGAGATGGGGTTTTGCCATGTTGGCCAGGCTGGTCTCCTGACCTCAGGTGATCCGCCTCCCTTGGCCTCCCAAAGTGCTGTGATTACAGGCGTGAGCCACCACGCCCCGCCGCTACACACTTTTAAACAACGAGATCTTGTAAGAACTCACTTACTGTCACTAGAACAGCAAGAAGGAAATCCACCCCTGTGATCCAATCACCTACCACCAGGCCCCTCCTCCAAAATTGGGGGTTACAATTAAATTGAGATTTATGTGGGAGCACAAATCTAAACCCTATCACTAAGGGATACTCTGTAACTATTCAATACATTAGCAGTTTTAAGTTGTGCTAAGCCTCCTTGTGATATTCCTAGAAGCTTAATATTTTTTCATGCTCACAACAGGTTCAAAGAAAAAATTTTGAAACTCCAAGCGCCAGGGCCAAATCAGATGTTAACTCAGTCTCAGCTTTGCTACTAACACAAGTTCACTTTCTTCATATCTGACAAGAGAAACAGATCTCTTCAAGTAGATACTTTGGTGAGGGAATGAGTTCATCAAAACCCCATCAAGTCCCCTCAAATGACAAACCCATCACTAAAACTGAAGTAGGGGTAAAAAGGGGAGGCTGTGGGCATGTTGTACACACATTAAATTCAGAGAACTTTGAAAAGAATTGTGATGGCCAGGAATGTGCAGGTCCACATAGAGTCTGAGTTTCTGTGGCAACTTGGTCTTCTAATCACCTGTTGAAAAGACTCTTATTCTTGAAACAGCCAGATAGGCATAATTAAAGGCCTATTTTTACAAATCATTTCTGAAAGTTCAATGTCCTCTTCTTTTATTCTTTTCACTACCTTCAGCTAATTTTACTGTTATATTAATTCATATTAGGCATGAATGATTACTACATATCACTATTCTAATACCATCGAGGTGGGCTGTTTTCAGATTTGGAAGTAGGTTATTACCCCTAAATAAAGTGCTAATCAGTAGGATATGCATGGATGTTAATTGTGAACAGGGAGACCCTCCCAGGGATTCTTGCCTCTTAGCAAATGCACAAATGCACATATACTCTAGTCAAGAGAATAAAAATCTGTAACTAGTTACCTGGTTTTCAAAAATATTATCAAACAGTAGATTTTCATTATATTGAGAGATTAAAATATCAACCAAAATATTTCTTTTATATTTTTTAGCCGGTAAATAGTTTTACTATTATATCTATGTATCTATCTATATTTATATATAGATAGGCATCATTTCAGATGTTTATTGGCTATCTAGAATATCTTCTTTCATGAAATACCTATTCAAGTCTTTTGTCTTTTATTCTGTTGGGTTGTTTGCCATTTGTTCTGTCAATTTATTGGAATTCTTTATATATTCAGGATATTCATTTTCTTAGTTCTATATCTTACAGATTGTAGCTTTTTCCTTTTTTGGTTCTTGTTTCTTCTCCATAGTGCCTTTAGATAAACAGAAGCTTTGACTTTATTTGAATGTAATCTAATTTAGTAATATTTTTCTTTATGGTTAGTGGGGTATTTTTTTTTATAATTCTAAATTTATTTTATTAGATTATAAGAACTAGTTAGAAACTTATTAAAACATTTTTAAAATGAAAATCAATCTATATATTTAAGGAAATCAAAACTGTAATTATTTATAAACATTGTTTAATTTTTTTTTTTTAATTATACTTTAAGTTTTAGGGTACATGTGCACATTGTGCAGGTTAGTTACATATGTATACATGTGCCATGCTGGTGCGCTGCACCCACTAACTCGTCATCTAGCATTAGGTATATCTCCCAATGCTATCCCTCCCCCCTCCCCTCTCCCCACCACAGTCCCCAGAGTGTGATATTCCCCTTCCTGTGTCCATGTGATCTCATTGTTCAATTCCCACCTATGAGTGAGAATATGCGGTGTTTGGTTTTTTGTTCTTGCGATAGTTTACTGAGAATGATGGTTTCCAATTTCATCCATGTCCCTACAAAGGACATGAACTCATCATTTTTTATGGCTGCATAGTATTCCATGGTGTATATGTGCCACATTTTCTTAATCCAGATTCTCTATAATTTGATCATGAAGATGTCCTTGGACATTAACTTTTGAAAGCTCTATAGATTTTGGTTTTAGGTTTAGGTTTTTAATTCACTTGGAATTGACATTAGTATTCATGGTTTGTACAGTACGTGCTCACAGAAATTTGAACACACACTTGCTGCTTTCTGTACTTTTTTATTTTTGTATTGGATCTCTGACCTTCCATCTTGCATCATTTTCTGTCTGCCTCAAGTACATCCATTGAGGTTTCTTTTAGTGGAAGTCTGGTGGCAAAATGTTCTCTTCAGTTTCTCTTATTGGTAAATGTCTTTATTGCACTGTCATTCTTGAAAGACATTTTTTGCTGGTTATACAATTTTAGAATGATAGCTACTTTCTCTTGGTACATCATTCCACTGTCTTTTGCCTTCCACTGTTGCTAATAAGAAGTTAGATGTAGTTCTGTCTCTTTCGAACTCAATGTCTGCTTTTAAAATCATATTTTTATATTTGTTGTTTTGACTAAACTTTTTAAAAATTTAATCTGCTTTGGGTGGGAGGCTGCATCTTGCAATTAAGAGTTTGTGCATTTATTAGTTCTTGAATTTTTTTTCTGATATTATATTTTTCAAATACTGTCTCTGCCCACTCTTTATCTTATGTCCTCTACAACTCCATTTACACATATGGTAGACATTCACACTGTATCCTCTATGCCCCTTAACCCTTTATAATATGTTCCATATTTTTATCTCCTTTTGCTAAATCATGCAAGCTTTTTAACCTTATGCCTAATTTTTAGTTTATTATTTTTGTTTCAGTTCTATAGTTTTTCCCTCTTACATTGTATTTTAATTTTTAGTGTTATTATTTGTACTTCTATTTGGTTCTTCAACAAATATATTTTATCATTCTTTATTGTTTGTCCCATTCACACAACTGTAAGTTTATCTTTCATTTCTTTAAACCTGACAAGCATAGGTATTTTATAATTTGTACCTGAAAATTATAACATCTGAAGACTTTGAAGGTCTTTTTCTGCTGGTTCTTGCTCATAGTACTTTGTTTTCCTGTGTTTGGGAAACATTCGAGGCTTAAGATCCTTTAAGAACTATATTCACGTCTTCCAATTGCCTGTGGAACTATTAGTCAACATCTATTTTCATTTAATGCAAAGTTTTATATCTCAAAGGTAACAAATTTAGGCTGCAAAACTGCATGAGGTCAAGCTGGTGTTTCCAGATGTTCACTCATGATATTTTCCCCTTCATCTCAGTCCCATATTTTGTGCTAGCTGATTTCTCCTGCAGTAGTCCTACTTGAGTGTGGCAGAGATTATTTCTGGATCACTGTTATGCACACTTTAGTTTTATGAAGTAAAGATTCATAGTATTGGGTTGATGCAAAAGTAATTGCAATTACTTTTGCACCAACCTAATAGATTTCATACCTTACATAGGCCTTGGATACTTTTTTCCACTAGACCTTGAGAGTCCTTCAAAACGCAGCCCAACTTCTCAGGCCCAGTAAATACGCTTATGAGTTTGTTTGTTTGTTTGTTTGATTGTTTCTCTGGATTTCTGCCTTTGATTAGTTTTTTCAACCTGAGAATTCCTTGCTTTCCTGCAACTCTTCAGTTTATTTAAGGTCATTAATATTTATTCAGGATTGTTCTTTCTCCAGTAGATGTCTACTCAGGTTCCTAATCCACAACATTACTAGAAATGAATGTCATAAATTGATTTCTAAATTATTTTAAACTCTGTAATTCTGCCATTCTACATTTTCATTTGGATTATTTTCTTCTATCATACTTACCCAAACTAGGCAAGTGGAAAATTGAGAGAGTTTGACAAGCAAAATGAATTTTTTTAAAAGTATTCAATAGAAATTATGTATCTAAACATTCCATTAATACTAGTAAGATTTGACTCAACTTTCTGACTTTGCATCACGTACTCTTCTTGAATATTTTCTCAATATACATTGTATAAATTACTTTAAATGTCTCCTTTTTAAGACTATTTTGCTAATTAATTAGATGAAATCTTTTGAGACTGTATTTATCTTTCTTTTAATGAACTTATGTGGTGAATACTCATGATATATTCTGACCTGATCTCACTTGTAAGGGCATACAACTTCCAAGGGTCTATTTTTATGTCTTTTTCAGTCTTTCCTTCAATATCTCCTAAAATCTGTTTGGAATAGATACGACCTTAAAATCCTCAAAACTTTTTCCTCCATGGATTCAAAGATTGATTGATTCATTCAATTACTGTTGACTGGGGAATTTAAAAGCACAAGTCTATGTTTGTAGAACCACTAAATTATCTGAGACAGGTATTCTTCTAGGTATTAAGACTGATCGATTCAGCTGTGTTCCAGTGGATACTTGGCGAAAAAAAAAAAAACCAGCAGAAATTTGAAGTTTGAAGAACATTTCACTTAAATCCTATAACCACATCCAGTGCTAGCAATATCATCAGTAATGACCAGCAAGTCAAGTGTTGGGTTAAGGAACTGTGGTCCAGGGGAAACATTCAGATGTCCTCAAATTATATCAATATTTAAACCCAGCTCAAACTACAAAGTCACAGAAATTATTTAAAACAAATTTATATAAATATCCATTCCATGCCATCCTTGATTTAAATGCCATATTCATTCATTGGAAAAAGAGGGCCCTTAATATTGTCTTTTTCTGATCTGCTTTCAGGCACCAAGAATAACACACCTACTCTAGGAGGCATGTTTGTTCTACATCCAAATCAATGATCTTCTATTCCTCAGGAAGTCAGGATTCTTTCATATCTTCCTGAAAAAGGTGAAGTTCCAAAGAGGCAGGATTGCTAATCTTTGCAGGTCCTTGCAGACCCTCTTCAATTCCAGATAAAAATGTCTTCTTATAGGCAATGAGGCAGAAAGAAATTAGGGAAGTCAGAGAGATACCTGTGACCAAAATTTTGACCTTTTCTAGTTAATTTGGTTTCTCTTTCATAACCCAGTAATATACCAACAAAATGGGGAAAAAAGATAATTGTCCGGCCATTGCAATCATTTGCCCAAAGGTAAACAGAGAAACAGTAGTTAGTATATCATTTATATTAAAAAGCAATGTGTTATTTATCTCCTTCCCTAAATAGAAGTCGAGCTAAAAAGAATTACGCTATGGTATAATTTCAGCATTTCCATCCCAATGCTTAGGAGTGGAAAGTCAGTTTCCAAGGAGCTTAAAAAATACCTTTATTATAAATCTTCATTTCTTAGATTAAAGCTCTACTTGCTCTTTCTTGTATTTGCATTCTTATTGACATTAGAGTTGGAAAAGTAATATATGCCTAGTATGTGACATTAATCCTCATGTAACAGAGATCCATGAAGATAAAATTTATCTTGATAAAGTTTGCAGCCTCACCTGCCAGGTTTTCGAGCTGCTTAATGCAACCACATGCATCTCTCTGCATTCTTAGGATTTCAATAAAGGTTTGTGATAAATGGGAAGCTGAATGGAAGCCTCCTTCCAAAATTATGCTTGTAAAACATTGGGGAATCTTAATCCCTAAAGGATAATTATAAATATTTAAAATGTATTCTTGCTTGTGCTCACTTTCTGATGTTTCTTGTAAGACTCTTTATATAAAAGATTATTCCTATACTAGCTTTTGAAATGTCATTTTAAGTTTCTACTCTGTTTGTAAACTAGGTATATAAGTTTCCTAGGACTATTGTAACAAAGTACTACAAACTTAGTGGCTGAAGACAACAGAAATGTATTTTCTCACAGTTTGAGAGGCCAGAAGTCCAAAATCAAAGTGTTGTCAAGGTTGTTTCATTCTGGAAGCTCTGAGGGACAATCTGTTCCATGTCTCTCTCTTAGTTTCTGGTGGTTGCTGGCAGTGTTTGGTGTTCCTTGGCTATTGGGTGCATCACTTTCAATCTCTCTGTCTTTACATGACCTTCTCTCTGAGTGTCAATGTCTAAATTTCTCTCTTAAGGACAAAAGTCATAGGATTAGGATCTATCCTAATGCAATATGAATGTGTCTTACCTTGACTACATCTGCAAAGGCTCTATTTCCTAAGGTCACATTCTAAGGTTTCCAAAGAATGTGAATTTTGGGAGGATACTGTTCAAGTCAGTTTACCAGATAAAACCAATTTCATTTTCAGAAACAAAGGATTAAGAAGAGCACTCAGATAGTTAGAAGAAGACCCACGACTAAACACCAAACTTTTGCCCTGTATTCAGAAGCTGCCTTACTCTGAAGGACTTTTGGAGCTTGTCTTCTCTTCTATTTTCAAATGCAAACATCTACCCAAACAGTCTGTTAAAATCACTTCAGCTGTTTATTCTTTCCCCATTTTTTAACATTTCCCCCTATGTTTCAGGAGTTTCTAAATCCATAACTCTCATTCACCAAATCTCCCAAAATGACAACAAAGAAAACCACTTTATAGCTCTCCTCTATAGCATGTGATAAAACCTAGAGGAACTTCAATGCAAATGAGGTGCTTGCCATTTTATGATACTGATTTTATATACATATATGTGTATTTGTTTGTTTTCCTCCTTTGGCACTTTTAAACTTATTTTATTCATCAAATAGATTTTGGCAGCAAAATCTTCAAAGATCATGCCAGCAAAAACCTGGCCAAATTTAAGATTGAGGTTGCATCACGCTATATATTAACACACCTGTGAATTGTCCAACACAGCTCCCAGAAGCATAAAATACTCTGTCAGGAAAAATAAGTTATTTTATTATACTTTTGGTGTAACTAGCCATAGCCAAAGACTTTTCAACACAAACTGAAATCAGCAAGCGATTTTATTTTAGTTTTTTGTTGTTTCCATATGCCAACTTAGTTCCTTTCTTACCTGTGGTCTCTTTGTTCATGTGTGGATGTATTAACCCTGTAACTCATATCCACAGGAGATATTCTGCAATACTTCACTCACATAGACACCAGCAATACACCACTGCAGCATCTTCTCTGTAGCAATTATTTTATAAATCACTTATTTAAAAGGGTTTGGACTAGGGAAACCAACTTTCCCGTGGCTATTATATGACTCATGTTTTAGTACATTTACTTTTTTGGCTAACAATACAGTTTAAAAGAAGTAAATGGATTCTTTTTAAATAACTGATACTGATTTTGCTTTTTATGTCTCATCTCTAGACTATGCAATTTATTTCTTCTCTCCCAGCACTGAAACAACTTCTAGCACTCACATTTATATGTTTTTGTACACAATATCATTTGGTAATCAAGTATTCTAAGAAGCTAGCTTTCTGAAGCATAAAATGGCTACATAAATACTGATCTGTGACCTGTAACATTCAATTTCAAATCTTTTATTCAGAAATAATGTCCTAACAGGTAACTCAAAATTGAATTGTATGCATTGAGAAATATTAGACATGTAAAGTGAATCTAAGAAGGTTCATTCATCCTGCATTGTAAGTGAAAATAATAGCTTATCTTTTAAAATAAATCTTTATTCTTAAATTTTGTCTTTAGAATTCATTATTATTATTATTATTATATTATTATTATTATTATTATTATTATTATTATTATTTTGAGATGGGGTCTCACTCTGCCACCCAGGCTGGAGTTCAGTGGTGAGATCTCGGCTTACTTAAACCTCCGCCTCCTGGGCTCAAGCGATCCTCCCACCTCAGCCCCTTGAGTAGCGTGTGCCACCAAGCCCAGTTAATTTTTTGTATTTTTGGTAGAGATGGGGTTTCACAATGTTGCCCAGGCTGGTCTGAAACTCCTGAGTTCAAGTGATCCGCCCACCTTCGCCTCCCAAAGTGTTGAGATTACAGGTGTGAGCTATTGTGCCCAGCTAATTTATTGTATTTTGGGTAGAGATGGGTTTTTGGCATGTTGCCCAGGCTAGTCTTGAACTCCTAAGCTCAAGTGATCAGCACACCTCGGCCTCCTAAAGTGTTGGAATTATAGGTGTGAGCCACGGTGCCCAGCCAATTCTTATTCTTTTAATTGATACATAATTGTACATGGATGTGGGGTACATGGTGATGTTTCTACATATACAATGGACAGTGGTGTAAACTAAAAATAAAATCCTAAGCCTCAACCAACTGAACAGACCCCTCTTGGCCAAGAGGACCCCAGAAAAAATCTAAAACCTGAATTCTTGGCCATGATGGGAATGGAAGTGGGATTTGCCTGGTTATACTCTCTCCCTTTCAGAGTTCAGGCACAACAACTGATCAGCATTAACACTAAAACAGAGACCATAAAACTAAAAAGAACTGATTCTCTGAATTATAAATAAGACCTAAGGCCATGCAAGACAAGGGTCAAGTCACAAATGCAGACCATCAGTTTGGCTACGTAGCATCCTTATCTTGTTAAAAATAATTTCAACTTTTATTTTAGATTCACTGTGTTAATGTGCTTATAATGTTGGCCCCAGCTGCATCTATGTTGCTGCAAAGGACATGATTTTGTTCTTTTCATGGCTGTGTAGTATTCCATGGCATATATGTACCTCATTTTCTTTATCCAATCCACTGCTGATGGGCACCTAGGTTGATTCCATGTCTTTGCTATTTTGCATAGTACTGTGATGAACATACGAGTACATGTGTCTCTTTGGTAGAATCATATATTTTCCTTTGGGTATATAACCAGAAATGGGACTGCTGGGACAAATGGTAGTTCTAGGTTTGTGACAGGTAACTAAATCTTGGGACCCCAAACTCATTAAGCCAAAGGGAAAAGTTAAGCTGGGAACTGGGTCATGCAAACCTGCCTCCCCCTTTCGGTTCCTAAATAAGATGGCTACAAGACGAAAAGCTACACTCTTCCTCCCTATTTTTCCCACAAGGAAATTCCTACAGAGCTGCAAGATCTTTACCCTAAGGTGTTTCTATTAATATTTCACCATGGCAATGTAAGTTGATAACTTATCTTTACAGGTGCAGTCACCCCCACTGCCCAAACACAAATGCATATCTGATTTTTCCCCTGCCCCATTTTTCTACGTTATCTTTTGTAAAAAGGCAGATTCCCCACATTTTTCCTCTGCCCCATTTGTTTATGCCATCTTTTGTAAAAAAATACAGATTCACTGAGCCAGACAAAGGCAAGAATGACTATTTTTCCCTATCCTCCTCTCACATGAAAATTGTGTACTTCTCAATACCCTACCCTTTCCCCTTTAAATTTGGAGCCCTCAAAATCATCGTCAGAGAAAGGCATAGACCTGTCTCCCAGGTGTACATCCTTAACTTTGGCAAATAAAACTCCTAAAACGATTGAGACTTTTCTCATCATTTTTCTCGATTGACAAGTTCTTTGAGAAATCTTCAAACTTCTTTTCACAGCGGCTGAACTAGTTTGCATTCACAGCAACACTGTATAAGTTTTCTTACACAACCTCACCTGCATCTGTTGTTTTTTGTCTTTTTAAGAACTGCCATTCTGACTGCTGTGAGATGGTATCTCATTGTGGTTATGATTTGCATTTCACTGATGATTAGTGATGCTGAGTATTTTTCTCATGTTCATTGGCTGCTTGTATGTCTTTTGACAAATATCTGTTCACATCTTTTCTGACTTTTAATGGGTTTGTTTTTGTTTTTTGCTCGTTGAATTATTTAAGTTCCTTATAGATTCTGCATATTAGACCTTCCTTTCACCATATCCAAAAAAATTAACTCAAGAAGGAGTGAACATTTAAATGTAAGACCTCATACTATAATAATCTTAGAAGAAAACCTTGGAAACCCCATGCTGGATACTGGCCTTTGGGAAAAAAAATTATGACTAAGTCCTTAAAAGTAATTGCAACAAAACAAAAATTGGCAAGTGGGACCTAATCAAATGAAAGAGCTCCTGCACAGCAAAAGAAACTATCAACAGAGTAAACAGACAACCTTAGAAATATAAGAAAATATTCACAAACTATGTATTCTACAAAGGTCTAATATCTAATATCCAGCATCCTTATATTAATCTAAAACATTTCTTTCTATTGGCTCCAAGTTTTAGACAGAATCTTACTCCTTTAACCAATTGAAAATTAAAGAATCTCTGAATCCACCTGTAACCTATAAGCTTCCACTTCAAGATGTCCAGCCTTTAGAGGCCAATCCAACATACACATTCCACATATTGATTTTGGTCCCTGCCTGTAACTCCTGCCTCCCTAAAATGTGTAAAACCAAACTGTAGCTCAACCACCTTGGGACAACTTATTCAAGACTCTTTGGGTTTATGTTTTCCCCAGGCCACAGTCACTCATACTGACTTGGAAGAAGCCTCTTTAAAATATTTTGCAGAGTTTGGTTTTTCCATTAACAGTGGTCAGATCAGGATAATTAGCATATCTATGATAATTAGCACATCAAACATTTATCTTTTTTTGTGTTGGGAACATTCAATATCCTCTCTTCTAGCTATTTGAATATATATAATATATATCTCTAGATTTCAAAAAATAATTTCTTACATTAGAGCAAATAGTAGAAGGTTAAAGAAGAAACCAATAGGCATGCATTCTGAAATTAACAAAATTTTTTCCATGACAACTTATGTAATCTTGCTTGGGCATCTAAAGAAATACAGGTTCAAATAAACTGAACATACAGTCCATACAAGCATATGTAGGGTCAACTTGTCATTAAATCATGAGGCGTATTTTCTGTGGTCCTTTGGCCCTGTTGCAAGTACAGAGTGTCCTCATACCATCCCTCTTTACTTTCATAATGCCCAGGATGCTGAGAACACTAGACTTGGGCACACTTCTATTTTCTACCACCAAAATAAAAGTTATCTTCCCATCTCCATGAATCCCTCTTTGCTTTAAAGAAATTGATAGCTCAATTTTTAATATAAAGTTTATAAATCAAAATTATTTAACATCTTTCACGTAACATGTAACTAGTTTTAGAGGCTTCCAAAGCCTCAATTGACTCTAAAATTATTGTATCCTGTGAAAATCCCAGGCAGCAGGGTATGGCCAGCAGCAAGACACTCCAAGACAAGGGGTCTTAGGAAGTGCGTCTTTATTGGATGTGTGAGGGAGGTCTTGCATATTTACCACGTTTTATTTCCGTATGTACTTAGTCAGGTCAAGTGCAAACAATTCACCCACTTCCAGAATATTCCTTCTTATATCTGTAATAGAAACTATGCAACTCAACCACTTACCCAACCCTTTGCCTCCTCAGACTGTGGACAAGAATAGGCCTTGGCTAAGGACTAAAGCAAAGTCTTTCAAAAGTAAATGTATCACTGGGTGTTAGGGAGTACGTATTATATGGTCTATGGGTCAAGATTGGGCATAATTTTAAATGCCAGCAATTCACGAATCATACCATTTATAAGGTAGAAGGAAAGAACTGCAAATGAAAGAAACTAGTACTGCTCTGCACAATAAAGTAAAATACAATTTTCACTGGTGTGAGGATTAACTGAGTTAATATAAGCAAAATACACACAGCCCAGAAGTACTCAGTAAGACAATTGCTATCACAAAAAAAAAAGTTACTGCTAAGTAATTGGAAAAATAAAGGAGCATGTGACTGACACATTCCGAAAGAGAGAAATGAGACTATGTGCACCCTGCATGGTTCTAGAGAAACTGGAAAACCAAAGCAAGTCTATAAAGACTCTTTTACTTGTCCACTGTGCATGAATGGTAAATTCCTAGCAATGAAAATGTAGGGTCCAAAGAAGTATGCATCTTCTAATCACTTTTAAAAGATATTGCTGAAGCTTTCTCCAAAGAAATTACACCAATTTTCACTGCCACTGGAATGAATAAATGTATCTGAAACTCCACACTGTAAATATATTTAAAATTACTTTATATATATACTATATTAAGTAAAATTATATTGTAACTAAGCTGTTATATATAGCATGTTTTATTTACATTAAATATAACCATTGTTATAATTTTCGCCAATATAATGGGTGCAAAATTACCTTGTTATGACTTGAATTTTTTTTAATTGTATTTGAGGGCGCTCATTTTTTCATCAGCTGCCAGTTCAAGTTTAGAAGAATGATCACAACCTCCCCCTCCCCACTTGATACAAAGAGGCCTAGAGAGAGGAAGAGGGTACGTTTGGGGGACCCAGAGTTTGTGACTAGGCAACTATATCTGTCCTTGCTGGAAAGGGGAGACCCCTCTTGCTATTTTGATTGTGTTGAAGCCAGAAGAGGTAATTGGGGTGCTGCTCCCTGGCTGGGTGGTTGCTGGACCATAACCTGTACCCTTTGGTAGAAAAGGCAGAGATAACACCTGGCTGGCCCTCCACCGCTACAGGTAGCTTCTGGAACTAACCAAGTCAAGCCTATTTTAATGGATATAATAGCAATAACCTAATTAGTTTAGTTACTAAAAATCATTTTAAAATTATAAAATTAGACTGAATTATCTATCTTGTGGTGAAGAAATTTTGACAAAGCAAATGGACATACTTAATTTTTGGAAAGAAACATTTCTCATTCCTTGAGACTCCAATGTTTTGCCTATGCACGACTATATTTGCATATCTAGATATGTATAGTTTATACATATCTAGATATGTATAGTTTATACATATCTAGATATGTATAGTTTATACATATCTAGATATGTATAGTTTATACATATCTAGATATGTATAGTTTATACATATCTAGATATGTATAGTTTATACATATCTAGATATGTATAGTTTATACATATCTAGATATGTATAAACATGTGAACCTATATGTGTGTTTATATGCATGTATCAATGATATCCTCAATGAACAGAGCAATACTTTGTTCAATACAGCCCAGTTCCTTTGTCCATTGGACAATCACCTTTATCATCTCATGCAGTTCTATATTTGCTATTCTAGCAGCATCTATGGCCTCCCTAGAAACATCTAATTGCTACCTCACTATCACAAGTTTCAATCTGAAATCAAAAGCTCAAAAGTTCCTTTGAAGCCTTGCTGGAAGTCAGACAGTACACACTGAATGTATATGTGTTAAAATTCTGAAATAATTTTATACCAATTGGGAAATATTTGCTGTTTGAATTTTCTGTGTTGTCCATCCCACCCACAACAAGCCTCCTATGATTCCCAGAACTTTCTCATAATCCACCAAACAATGGGTTAATGCCTACTCCCAGAACAACAGCCATTACAATTACTCACAGTGTTAAACATTTTAAATATCACCCCTCTTTGATAGATTCTATACAGCAGGATCTAAATCAAGTTTATCCAACCAATGGCCTGTGGGCCGCATGTGGCCCAGGATAGCTATGAATGGAACCCAACACAAATTCGTAAACTTTCTTAAAACCTGATGAGACTTTTTTTGTGATTTTTTAAGAAATCTCTTCAGCTATTGTTAGTGTTAGTGTATTTTATGTGTGGCCCAAGACAATTCTTCTTCTTCCAATGTGGCCCACAGAAGCTAAAAGATCGGACACCCCGACTCTAGATTATTAGAAATAAACATTCACATGAACAAAGATCCCTTCATATTCTAGCTTAAGCTTCAAAACCAAAAGTTATTTGCAATTTTAGAGGTTTATCAAAATCTCTCCTTTAAATAACTATCTAGAGTTAAATAATTTGTGTTTTTCTTTTTGAAAGGCGTTACCATTCTGAAAGTAGAGTAAACTACTTTCACTGAACTGATCTTCAGCCAGTTTTGGTGTTCATTAAAAAAATTTACAGTGTTATGCATTCAAATATGGTAACTGAGCCTTTAGGTTCCCACGGCAACTTGATCATTTCAGTAGAAAACTTTTCTTTTCTTTCTTTTTTAACTTATAGGTATGCCTGTTCTCTAACAGTTTCACTTAGCTTATCATTTCAGTTATTTCCAACCGAGATATCCACCTTTGGGAATTCACATATTCTGATACATTCCCAGGTGGCTATTTATAAAAACACAAGAAACATCATGCTAACATTACCAAGTCCTGAGAAAACTGGTCTTGCATTATGTCATTCTAAGGAGAAACACCATCTTTCTCTCCATATCACGGACTTTTATTTTACATCCCTGGAGAAATTTCATACACTTGGCAGGTAACTCACAGAAGCTTTATTGGTATACCGCAAATACCTAAGTATTGGTGGTCCAAATGCCCCAGTGCCACATATAAATAGACAAACGAGTTTTCTTTGTGATGAGTTTATCACCCAATACTTGGTTCCTAAACTTAGATCCAACTTAATTGGTTACATCAAAGTCATCTGGGGTCTTTGTTAAAACAGATTCCCAGGCTTCTCTCCAATAACTGAATTGGAATATTCAAGAATGGATGCAAGAAATCTGAATTTTTAAGAAGTACTCTGTAGGATGTTCATGCCCAGCCAGTCTGGAAAATTCATAACCTATTAATTAATAAATCATTCACGAAACTGGCATGATGGTTTTTAATTAACAACTTGGTTGACTGACAAATGTTACAATCAAATACAAATGGAAAAACCAGAATATTGACCAAAAGGGTTAGCACAAAACTGTCATAAATATCTTACTGTCAGCAATGCAACATACTGATATTTTCTATTATGTTTTATTTCCTTTTAAAAATGTGTTCATTACAAACCACTTCATTTCATTTCCTATTTAATAAATCTCATCCACAATTTTAAACACAATGACCTAAGGACATTTTTCAAACATGCATGGCTGACCCAGCCTACCTGACTCTGTAGGATCCAGGTGATGCCTCGGCGAATAGGTGTGCCTGAAAGATAAACCCAAAACAGTGCTGTCATCAGACCACAGGAGATCAATCTATTGTTGAAATATTAGATAGTGAGAAATCACAACAAAATGAATTTGGCACCATGTTCCAAATAGAGATTTCCCTCTTATAAGGACCAGACTACCAGAATCCATGCAGCAACAAAATCTCTTCTCTATATAGTGGGGAATAGACACTGACTACTTTTATATTTGGGGGTATCTCAATTCTTTGTTTCCCGTATTTCATCTTCTAATTGAATGCAATAAAATCAATTAGATTATAACATCTAAGTAACTTTTCAGTTTTACTTTCTAAAATTATAAGCATCTTATTGTAATTGGTGCTTAGAGTTTTTTCCAATGTTAGATTCAATCATTAGTAAATAATCTTTTTAATTACTTCCAGAAATTATTAATCACATCTATTCATGAGAACAGGCCTATATCCATTGTGTTTATTATTGAGTTTACAATGCTTAGAATTGTCATTGCTTCTACAAGTAGTCCCTGATTTACAATGGTTCAACTCATGAATTTTTGATCTTAGGATGGTGTATAACTGTCACTATTTTGACACAGTATATGGCATTCAATAAATAACATGAGATATTCCACACTTTATTGTAAAAAGTCTTTGTGTTCTATGAGTTTGTCTAACTGTAGGCTAATGTAAATGTTCTGAGCACATTTAAGGTAGACTAGGGTATTAGTCCATTTTCACACTGCTATAAAAAACTGTCAGAGACCGATTAATTTATAAAATAAAGAGGTTTAATTAACTCATAGTTCAGCGTGGCTGGGGAGACCTCAGGAAACTTACAATCATGGCGAAACGTAAAGACAAAGCAAAGCACCTCCTTCACAAGGTGGAAGGAAGGAGAATAAATGCAGGAGGAACTACCACTTATGAAACCATCAGATCTTGTGAGAACTCACTCATCATGAGAACAGCAAGGGGGAAACTTGCCCACATGATTCAATTGCCTCTGCCTGGTCTCTCCCTTGGCACGTGGGGATTATGGGGCTTATGGAGATAACAACTCAAGATGAGATTCTGGGTGAGGATACAGCCAAACCATATCAGCTAGGCTAAGCTGTAATGTTTGGTAGGTTATGTATATGAAATGCATTTTCAACTTACAATATTTTTAACTCACTATGGGTTTATCAGGACACATAACCCTATCATAAGTCAAGAAGTACCTGTATTAGGCATTAATAAGTATCTGAGTACATTGTACCTACAGATTTCATTGGTTTAATTCTAAGAAGTTAATCTCCCTTACATCTAAGTTAGTCTCCCTTTCATCTAAGTTCTTAGAGGGGACCATGGCATTTTTCATATATGCAAAACATTAAGCATTTAATTGGATTGACTCTAAATAAATTAGCAAATAGGAAAAAATACTGAAGTCAGTAAGAGAGTCAGGTATAAAACATATGCACATTCCATCTCTTAATTTGTTGCTATATTGGGATAAACATAGACAATGAGATTAAATGATTTTATAGAGACATTTAGATAAAAATTCACAACATTTAGAAATACTTCCTTTCCAACATATTTAATAGAAAATAAAGCAAAACAAAACAAGCAAATGATAAGGAAGGAGTAACCTAAATGTTCAATAATAGAAGATAGGTTATGTAAACTATGGTAAATTCTACTCAATGTAACTTTATGTAGTTAATATTTGTCAAGGATTTGACAAAATTAAAAGGTATGATATAAAATTTAAAACATGTTATTTTACAACTATGCTAAATAAAGCACTTACTTAAGGAAGAAAAACATGAAAATAATGGTTATGCTGGGATGAAGTGAGAGACTACATATTTCTAAAATTATTTGCAAATCATTAGAAAATATTTGTTAATTACCATGTCAGCCTCCATTCTCCATTCCTACAGGACCTTGGACTTTCAAGCCAGGTGGCTAAGGCTGAAATGACCTTCTCCCAGTTCCAGGAAGAGGTCTTGCTTAACTTAAGTCTACAGCATATTCCGTCCCTCTAGCCAGAGTTATTGGTTCAGGAATAAACATACTCACTCACAATTATATCATGAGGGTTAGTTTTTATAATCTTGTGCTTGGTACCAATTGTCGTAACCTACTTTTTCCTGAAAGCATACCCTGAAGCAAGAATTAAAGTGATAACATTTTATTTGTGAGGTGCAAGCCCTTGGCAGGAAAAGAAGAGGGAAAAAAAAAAAAGGAAAGTAAGCATAAGAAAATCAACGTGATTGCCACACTACCACTTCACAAAACGTAAGATGCACAGCAGGTCACTCAGCAAGCCAGAGGAATAAGGACTATGCCAAGAAGGACTTACTCTTGGCAACACTTCAAGAGATATGACTCTTGTTGACTATCGTGTCACTGCAGCAACTCATAAAGTGGTGGCAAGTACAGTCATGCATTCCATTCTGCATCTTGTCTTAGTTCCCCTTCCCCCTATCCATACCCCAACTGTTGTGGAATTCTGCCCTCCCCCCAAAATATTAACATATCAATATTTGCCTCACCTTTTCCTCTCAAAAGGATCAGCCTAAGACAGATAGTTTTAAAGATTTTTCCCAATTTACCTTCTTCCCTCATTTCCTATGTTGATTGGATGGGGACAGGGAGAGAAGCTGAGTTATGATCAGCACTAAGATTCCTATGTTTTTATTTTTTCTTGTCTGAGACATTTTGAAATTTATTGCATTGATAGTAAACATTGCTAGCCCTTGCTTGTCTATGGTTCATTGTTTCCTGTGTTATGTTATTATTGTTTTTTGTGCCTACTGGTTCAGAAAGAGTGAGACTATGATCTGGCATGACTCTGCCAATTTTACCCCGAAGTGCCATCTTATAAATTTTTAAGCAGAGGATGAAATACTTAGCTTAAGTCTGCAGCATATTCTGTCCTCATAGCTGGAATTATTGGTTCAGGAATACACTCACTCAAAACTGATCTCGATGGATTATTTTTGGCCAGCATACAGGGATAGGATACACTAGACTATGCATAATCAGACAGCCCACTTTTCTGTCAGACTTCCTCTTGTTAATTACATGAACTCCCAATGTTTTGAGAATATCAATTTTTAGTTTTATGGCAAACATGTGTACCACTGTATTCATTGAACTTACTTATTTTATGACATTCAAAATTTTCCAATCTTATGCAGTTAGATCTACTAATTTTTATGGGAATTTTTATCATTGCTTTTTACTTTTTTCATATTTCAGGGTAAGTGTAATAGGCAGAACTCTGGCCCTCATGACCTTTACTGTTTGGTATTATACCTGTGGGTATGTTACGTTGGTAAAAGAAATTTTGGCCTGGCGTGGTGGCTCACACCTGTAATCCCAGCAATTTGGGAGGCAGAGGCAGGCGGATCATGAGGTCAGGAGATCAAGACCATCCTGGCTAACACAGTGAAACCCCACCTCTACTAAAAATACAAAAAATTAGCCGGGCGTGGTGGCGGGCACCTGTAGTCCCAGCTACTTGGGAGGCTGAGGCAGGAGGATGGTGTGAACCCAGGAGGCGGAGGTTGCAGTGAGCCGAGATTGTGCCACTGCACTACAGCCTGGGCGAGAGAGAGAGAGAGAGACTCCGTCTCAAAAAAAAAAAAAAAGAAAAAAAAGAAATTTTGCAGATGTAATTAAGGTTACTAATCAGTTAACCTTAAAATGAAGAGATTATTTTGGATTATCTAGTTAGCCCCAATATAATTACATGAGCCCTAAAAAGCAGGGTAATGTGGCAAAAAAAGGAAGCCAATGAGATTTGAAGCATGAAAAGGACTTGACTCACTGTCGATGCCTTGCAGATGGAAATGGCAATGTGAAAAGCATGAGAAGAAAGTAAATTCTGACAACATCCTGAATGAGCTTTCAAACAGATTCTTTCCCAGAGCCTCTAGTAATGAACACAGTTCTGCCAACACCTTGATTTGGGCCTCATAAGACCATGTGCAGAGAAAACAGCCAAGCACACTGTGCCTGGACTTCTGATCCATGGAAACTATGAGCTAATAAGTGGCTATTATATTAAGCCACTGTTTGTAGTAATTTGTTATAGTCACAACAGAAAACTCATACAATGAGTCAAGTTTATATATAAACTAGGAAAACGGAGGGGCTGTAAATCAAAATACAAAAGCCAGGAAAGACACCAATATCCTGAGTCTTTCTTATAGAATAATACTCTTCCCTTCAATTTAAAAGAAAATTTGATGAAATTTTATACTAAATGATAAAAACTTACTGGCAGATTCTAGTAGGAAAGCCACACAGAGGTCAATGAAACATTATTCTTTACTTGAGAATGTTTTGCCTCATCATCAGATAAAAATCAAGCAAGTTTGGAGAAGGGAAGAGTATTGTTTGAATCTTTTTTTCTGTGACTGGTTACAGCTAAGCAATGAGCCATGGGAGACAATAACTTTTGATTATACAGAAGTCATTTGTTTTAGGTTTAGATTACATGATTGCTCCCACAACTTGCCCAGTCTTTATCAGGAAAATTGTGAGTTTCCATGGCAATGGAAAACATGGCACAAAATTGCAAATGAACTCATGCTTCTACCATAGAAAACTGTTCCTGGAAACAACTAAGATGACACTGGCAATTGCTATAAAAAAGGAAAGTAAATCTCTTTTGGATGTGTTTGTGATTAATAACTATTTTCTACCATCTTATAGTTTTATAGAACACCTTACAGACAAATATATAATTAATTATAATTGTTTTTGTATCTCCTGGAAGGCACAACAAAAATCCAGTTAAAAACCTATACCCACCAAAAAAAATTCCACAACAGGTGTTGTGAATCTTTTAGGACATTACAAATTATAATTAATTTCTCTACATTTAATAAAGACTGTAGTTAATAGCCTTAATTATTGGGCTAAGTACCTTCAATTATTTTGTTCCATTTCAAATTTCTTAGTTCAGAAGTGAAACAGCTATTTTTTTTACACTTTCCCAATGACTTTTCTTGAAAGGGGAAAATTATTTCCTGATTTGAGAATTTCTCTCATTCAGTGCTTAATAAACTGAGGGGGAAAAGTTAATATTCTAATGATATCAAATTATTTAATTGGCATAATTATAAAATATGCTTCCACATTTAACTATTCTCTCACCTAACATAGCAGGTTACCTATTTGAAGTAGAATTATTTCTAATGAAAATGTAAGCGGGTTGGCCTCATATTGACTAGCAGTTACTGCCACAATGAATAATTTATCTTCCTTATTAATTCATATAATCATTAAAAGGGTGAACTTCCTTTTTTGTGAAGAATTTGCCTCTGAGGAGCTGAAAGCTCTGTGAAGATATAAATGTTACTGAATTTCAGATCAGCAGCCTGGGCGGGTGGGAAGGTTTAGTTAACTCCATTTTAACTGACAGTAAACCAAGACTAAATAGTTGAGGATATATGGGGAAATAGGGGGACAGAGCTTCTACTATCAGAACATTTCAAACAAAAAGCCTAATTTTTCCTTAAGGTATCAGGTAATTGACAGAAAATAGGACCCAACCCTACACTATGTTTTCCAGCTGGTCCCACAGACTAAATTCCCTTGATAATTGCTAATCCATTTCCTGAGTGCCTCACCCTGAAATCACTTCCTCCTCTGGGATCTTAGAAAGCTTTCCACCTGAACCATTCATTCAGCAGGTGCTGCTTTCTTCTGCCATTTACATTTTATGTGGCGATGTCTTTTCAGATCTACTGGATTGTAAATAGAAATAAAGGGAACATGGGGAGGTAACCGGTATTTTTTGAGTGGCTAGCACGTTGCAGAAACTTTTAATATGTGAGAAAACAGATTTCCTGAGTGTGTCTAATCATAGAAAGTCAGAGCCAAGAGGCCTGAACACAGATGCCTGCTTTCTCCACAACTCTAAGTCCACGTACCTGGAAATTGTAATATTTGTTAATATGCCCACAAAGGGAAGGGTTTATACTACTATGCAATTATTTCTCTTTTGTGCTTAGAGAAATAATAGCCAGCATTTATTGAGCACTTCCTGTGGGCAGGCACTGTTCTGAAGTATTTTATGTGATTTGTTTTCTTTCATTCCCACAACAACCATATAAGTAGGGACTATTTTTGTTCCCATTTTACAATAGAAGAATCTGAGGTGCAGCTAGCTTAGATAACTTTTCCAAGGATACCTGGCTGGTAAGTGATTAGCCAAAAGTTAAACCTGATCAGTTTGGGTCTAGAACCCTTGCATGTAACTCACCATGGGTCCCAACATCAGTCCTTAGTAGAGAAAGGTTCTGGGATAAGGAGAAATTGAATTTCTCAGACCTGTAAAGACCAGGCGGCTTGCACTGTGTCACCAGCAGCTCCGGGCCATTCCCTCCTCTGCCACCCTACTGAGGTCCCCCACTCTCAGGAACTTGGAATTAAGAGAAGCTCTCTGACAATCTGACATAAGCTTCTGCTTTGTACACTTCACGTCACAAAAGATTTTGCCTCCCTTGCCTAATTAAAATGTAGTCTACAGTGTGTATGCTTTCTTCTTGCCAACACTCGGCTCGCCAGAAATGCTAAAACTGTCTAATATTATGTTGTTGTCAGGCTCAAAAATGGCCCAGATTATAGCTGCCTCCTGGTTCTCACAGGTTTGTGTAATCCCTGTCCTCTGAGTGTTGGATGGACTTTGTGACTCACTTCTAACGAATAGAATACAGCAGAAGTGGCAGGATCTCAGAAAATACCACAAAATCAGCAAATTATGAGAAAAAAAATGCAGGGAAGAACAAAGCAACTCACAGTGACTCAATTATTATATATTAATAGTATTAAAATAACCATGATTTATATACATAAGAAAATAGATGAAAGGACGGAAATTGCACCAGAGAATTGGGATACATTCCAAAAAAAAAAAAACCAAATGGAAATTGTAGAAGTAAAAAACAAAATAAAAGAAATTAAGAATTCAATAGATTAACAGTAGACTAGACAGAGAAGAAAAGGCTCAAAAATAGGTCAGATTTGAAGCAGAGACAAAACAATGAACTGCAGAAAATGCAAAGAGAAATATGAGACATAATGAAAAAGTCTAACATAAATAAAAATAGAGTTAAGAGAGAATAGAGAATTGGAAATATTTTAAGAGGTGCTGGTAATGATGAGGCTGGCCATGAAATACTGAGACCAAAACAAGACAAGGATGTCATCCGTCACCAAATTCATTCAGCATTGTATCAGAGAACATAGTCCCTCCAATAAGAAAATGGCAACAACAACAACAGAACAGGAAGAAAGGGAGGGAAGAAGATAGGA
The DNA here is from genome assembly GCF_000001405.40 of Homo sapiens. Classification (NCBI taxonomy): domain Eukaryota; kingdom Metazoa; phylum Chordata; class Mammalia; order Primates; family Hominidae; genus Homo; species Homo sapiens. Next base: position 53,750,734 of record NC_000018.10, read on the forward strand.
AGATACGGAGGAAAAAGGAAAGAATAAATAAAATGTGAAGATTTGGGAGGAAAGAAATAAAATTCTCATCAATTGCAGATGAGATGACTGTGTATGAGCAAATCCAAATATTCTACAGTTCACTTACTAGAATTAATACACTTTATCAACATCTGTAAATAAAAGATCAATTAATTAAAGTAATTCTATTCCTATATACTAGCAGCAAGCACTTTAAAGGTGACATTTAAACTTAATTCTGTTTACAAGAGCTATACAAAAATTCTTATCTATCTAGGAATATCTAAGTAAAGATGTTCAAGATATCTACTCAGAAAGCTACAAACAGTACCAAAATAAATTTTTTAAAACCCAAATAAATTAATATGCCATATTTATGGATCATAAGATTTAATATTGTAAAAATGTCAGTTTTCTTCAAATTAATCTAAAGATAGACTGAAATACAAATCAATATAGTAACAATATAGTAACAAGGTCTCGGCATATAGGTATGTATAAGTGTATGTTTCAGTAGACATGGTAATTGATGAGCTGACTCTAAAATGTGTAAAAATACCAAGGGCCAAGAAGATCTAAAACTATATTGAAAGAAGACAAAAAAGTAATAATAACACTACCACCATACATTAATGCTTATTTTAAACTTACAGAAATTAGAATAGTATATATTGTCTCAAGTATAAACAGACCCACAGAGAGACAAAAACAGACCTACTCATACATACATACCTAATTTATGACAAAGATGCCACTATAATAGAAACAGAAAAATGATCTTTTCATTAAAGGTGTTTGATCAAAGGAATATATATATATATATATATATATATATATATATGAAAAAATTTATTCCTATCTCATCCCATATACACAAACACAATTTTAGATGAATAAGGTAAAATCAAAGATTTTATAAAAGAAAGCATAAGGAAGTACCTTTATGACCTTTAGGTAAGAAGAAGTTACATATATAAGACATTTTTAAAAACACCATAATGAGAAAAAAAATAGAAAATTAGACTTCCTTAACCTTAAGAATTTGGCTCATCAAAAGGCACCATGGGAGAGTAAAAAAGCAGCCCAGAGAGTAGAAAATGAGAGAGACTTGGAATGCATGTACCTTATAAATAATGCTGCTACAGACATATCTCCAACATATGTGTGGAGATCTAACAGATTAATAAGATAGACAATCTCATTAAAACTGTATCAAAGACTTGAATAAGAGTACATAAAAAAAGAATATCCAAATAGTCAATTAAAATACTAAAATAGTCTCAATATCATTAGTCATCAGGGGAATGCTAACTAAAACCATAATGAGATTCCATAATGCACCCACTAGAAAAGCTAAAAATAAAATGTGAAAGAAAAACCAGTAATATCCGATGATGAGTTAGTTGTAAACCAAATGGAGGGAACACACTTTTGGTGGGAAATAGTTGGGCAGTGTCTGCTAAAGTTGAAGATTACAAACTCTAGGAAACAGCGATTCCTCTCCTAGGTATAAACTCATCAGATATGAATTATATATATTCACTCCATGTATATTCATATATACATATATTGCATCAAAACTGTCCTTAGCAGCATTATTTGTGACAGTCAAAACTGGAAACAACACCAATGTCCATCAGCAGAAGTGAAAAGAATTGCAGTGGCTTGCCCAATAGGATACCAGACAGTAGTGGAAAAAATCAACCACTGCTACATGCAACAAAGTGGATCAATCTCAAGAGACAGAAAAATAAGGCAGGCACAAAAGAACACATAAAATATGATTCCATTTATATGATATACAAAATGAGGCTCAACTATTCTAACGCAATAACAGGATAGTGGTTATTTGAGAGGTCTGAGGAGCAGCAACACAAGAAGGCTTCTGAAGGGCTAGTAATGTTTCCTACTTCAATCTGGAGAAAGATAAATTCTCTTAGTAAAAATTAATCAAGTGGCACCTTTAAATCTGTGCATTTTATTCTGTATGTGCTATATCCAATATCAATGTTTACCAAACAACTTCAGCCTCCACTTTTGTTCTTCCACTGGGCCATGTTGCCTCTGAGGTCCATGAAATGAAAACTCAAAAAATTTCTATTAAACTGCCTCTCTGCATGCCTAATATCCGCCTACTGTCTCCTGCCTATCGAACCTTCTCAGAGAGTATCCTTGCTTTCCTATAATTAGTTGTCTTCCAGTCTTGCCATCTGCTCCCATACCCAATTCCTGATGCAGCCTCTCATATTCTTGTTATAAACACAACCTTGGACTAAGCAGGGGAACTGTCAAACAAGCGCTGATTCTTAAGATGATATGAAAACGCATGAGATTTCCCCCAGTCCTCCCAGCAGAATCACAGCCATAGTCTCCAAGGGGAAAGTTCACTTCGAAGTGCTCCTAAGCCAATGCAAATATTATTTTAGCTAGAAGAACACACTTACACAGCACTGAGAACAGCATGGGCAATTTACAAATACTTATTGGCTAAACCAGTGCATCTGTGGCCTTCATAAAATTCTCTGAAAATTCTCTTTTTTTTTTCCCATCTTGTATCTCTAATCCTAGGGAACTTTCCTCTCCAGTTTATTCAGGCTGCAATATTAACTGGGGACTTTACAGGGGAGAAAATGTAGTAATTATGCCTGTATTCCTGTTAGGAGAAATAGCAATCACTGCATTTTACATTTAGTTGGCTTAGTTTACTTCAAATTTGCCTCTATATTTAAAACCAGGCCTGTTTCTAATGCAACTGGGAGAAAGGGAGGTGAAAGGAAGGAGAAGTTAACAGCAACACAATATTACTCAACTAAATTAGAACTCCGTGGAAAAGTACTGCCTATTAGAGATGGTAAAGTCATTCTGGGTGAACTGATTGATTTAACCCAGAGAACTATATGCCTGGGCACTAATTTACTCTGATAAAATGTTGCTAATAAAATGATGGATCTCAAATCTAATTCACTGAAGCCTGGCATATCATAGAGAGACCCTCAGTCAGTGAAACTGCAAATCCCCTACTGTTTTCATTATGTCTTTGGAATCCAAAGGCCCCACTGAAGCAAAGCCTATAATGGAATTATCACAGCTTGCTGCCTCTGAATTTCCCATTTACGCCTCTGTCAGTGTCACATCAACACACTAATTACCTGCACTCTCCATTTCATTTAATAATAATCCCAAACAAAGAGGCCAATACTAAAAGAAGAAAGTGGGGGCGAGAGGAAGAGAAAGGGCTGGACAGACGTAGATTGCTATGTGCAATAACAAATAAGGATTTAATCAAACCGGACTGCATGCCCAGAGAAATGGCAAAGAAGCCAACTGTTCACAAAAGCAAATAAACGCATTTCTAAAATGAGTGCTCATATGAATTTACACAAAATTGGACTTCATTTCTATTAATTGTAACCATTTGTAATGGCTACAAAGACCACCTCAAGGGAAAAGGACAACAGTTCTTTTTGTCCATGCATCCCACATTTACCTCCTGTGGGGGTTCAAGTCTGATGGGAGTACTGCCTGCTGCCTCCCTATCTAGAGTCAGCTCTGTGTAGAGTAAGCTGAATTTAAAGCACTATGAAAACCTGTTTGCATCCCCCTTAGGAAATCTATACCACATGTGTCATCAAGTCTAGTTTGCTAGTTTCTGGTTCTTATTTTCATTTTCCCATGTGCTGAAGACCAGTTCTGGGGTACAGCCTGCTTAATTGCCTTTCACCATATTCTTGCTGGTTACCATTCTCAGAGATGAAACATCTTCCTGTTTCTATTATATCTAAGCAGGCTTTGCACCCACCCAAGCTCCCTTATATCCCTGGGCTCAGGTATAAATTTGCCACTTATTTAAAAAGGGAATTTCTCCACATTCTTTCTTCCACTACAGATTTGAACCTCCATTCCCAAATGCTTCCCTGGCTTCAGGCCTTTTGTCTCATGCACGGATTTGTTCCCTAGCAAGTCTCTTCTAAATACTGTTTTGGTGGGTAGACTTTTAGATTCTCATCTTTACTTTCTGCCTAGGTTACTATCACACATGTAGTTACCTTCTTTGTCTCACTGAACTTTATAGACAAGCCTTGCCCTCCTCCATACAAATTCCTGAGAGAGTGCAACCCAGCCTGGAGCCGGAGCTTCAGCCTCTCATTTGCTTGAAGAGCAGCTTGATCCCCTGTATTTCCTCGAAATAGCCTTTTTGTTACATGATCCTAACACCATGAGTATAAGAAACATGCCATCTGAAGTGCCTGATTCTTGCCTGTTATGAACTAAATGTTTATGTCCTCCCAAAATTCACATGCTGAAGCCCAATCAAGGTGGGGTCTTTGAAAGGTAATTAGAGTTAGTATAGGTCCTGAGGATAGAGTTCTTAGGATGAAATTAGTGATCTTATAAGAAAAGAAAGAAAGATCTCACTCTGCCTGTCTCGCTCTCGCTCTCTCCATGTACACCTCAGGGAAAAGCCATAATAGGACACAGTGAGAAGGTAGCCATCTGCATGCCAGGAAGAAAGCCCTCATCAGGAAAAGAATAAGCAAGCATCTTGGTCATGGAGTTTCCAACCCCTCGAACTATGGAAAAAATTATTTTCTCTCTAAGCTATCCAGTCTGTTGTATTTTGTTGTAGCAGCCCAAGCTGACGAGTACACTGCCTATCTTAATCCCTTTGGCGCTGCTATCACAGAATACATGGGACTGGGTCATTTATAAAGAACATAAATTTATTTCTCACAGTTCTGTAGTCTGGGAAATCTAAGATCAAGGGACTGGCACCTGATGAGGCCTTCTTGCTGTGTTCTCACATGGCAGAAGGTGGAAGGGCAAACCCACTCCCCCAAGCCCTCTTTATAGTGGCATCAATGCATTCATAAAGGCAGAGCCCTTATGACTTAAACACATCCTATTAGACACCACCTCTTAAAACTGTTACAGTGGACATTCAATTTCAAATGGGTTCTGGAGGAGACATTCAAAACATAGCACTGTACCACCTCTTCAGATATTTCATGGAGTTTTCCTCGTTGCCTTGCTCTGCTTTCTTAGCCCTAATATTGCCTGGGGAAGTTTGAAAGGCTCTTTCTTGCTGCTCTCACCAGAGTGTGTTGCATGACTGGTGTGGTGTTGTGTTGTCTATGGACTTCTAGAAGAGCTCTGAAGAGTCTTGAGGCATCACAACTGCACTTTTGCTTGGAATCCTGTGATAATTTGTGGCGTGATCTGATTGACTTAAGTCAAGGAAGTGGCCAAAAGGAAAACTAAAGCGCCTGAAAACTCTCGGTATGAGAATAGATTGTTTTGCCCTCTAACCTCAGTCTGTGATGAATAGCCAAGGAGTTAAATGCTAATAAGGTCACACCAAAAATGGCCAGTTCTCTATCTTATCTGCTAACTAAGCAGATTTGAATGCTTAGGTATGTTAGAGTAGGTAGCTAGGCAGACATGAGCAGGGCAAGAAAGCCACCCTCCCACCTAGGAAGGTCAGGGGACCATCAGGTAATGGTGAGATGGTTGTTACACTGTCTCTCTAAAATAATAATTGGTTGCAGTCAGTGCCAGAGAAAGGCAATTTTCTAATAGACAGAAAATACCTGGAGCTGGTAGTCAGCAGCTTCCTGATAAGATCTCAAGAGTTCGGCAAGTGGGCCCCAGCATACGCACTAACAGGCAAAATGGTGGAGTTTAACTGGTAAGAGGAAAATGCCTCAAATGAGGACCACTTGACTGGTAAGAGGAAAATGCCTCAAATGAGCACACACACAACCTCAGTAAACACAGTGCACATGCAGCCCCTCCCAAGTGCTGGCAGGCCACTGTACATGCAGACAGCCCACCCCAAGGGAAGAATCAGGGAAGAAGAAATGCAAACCTCAGAATCATGCCAATGTATAAAACCCCAGGTCAAGGGCTGAACACTGCACTCAGATCTTTCAAGATGCCTGCTTGGCCCTCTTCCAAGTGCACTTTACTTCCTTTCGTTCGTTCTCTAAAACTTTTAAATAAACTTTCACTGCTGCTCTAAAACTTGCCCTAGTCTCTCGCTCTGCACTATGCCCCTTAGCCAAATTCTTTCCACTGAGGAGGCAAGAACTGAGTTTGCTGCAGACCTGTTGGATTCACTGCTGCTAACAGGTAGAGGCTTTCTATTCTGCTTTTCATCAACTCCTCCACCACAACTATACATCTTCCTCCTAGTAAGTTAATGTGTGTTCAGGAATGGGAAACTCAGCCTCTAATGTCAAATGTCTATTTTAAGGCTATAAATCCCTCAAGAAACCAAATGCTTATTTAGCTCACTGTTTGGCAAACATTTTCCTAATTTTAGATACATGAGTAATGGGATTTTGTAACTGATTCCTATACCTACCAGTAATAAAAAAGTGTTGGCTAAAATCAGATATTCCTGAGAAAGACTTTTAAAAGTTTTGATGTCTAACATTTATCTAAAATCAAAACCTTTTTATATTTGCTCACTCTGCACAGTTTTATTTTTATATTATAATGGCCACAATTTGTAAGAATCTATTATGTTCTTAGCATGGATTAAATCTCTCCATATGTTATTTAATGTTAGTTACTCCGTAAGTTGAATTTAACTTATCCTCATTGTATAGATAAGGTGGCTAAGACTTGGGAGAATTTAAGTTAACTAGCATGCCATCAGAAAGAACTACTAAGCAACACAGAGAATAAGCCTAGACCTCACTGACTTCCAAATTCATGTTATTTATTTTAAGCCAGTTTCAAGCCTAAGTGTATGCCAAAGAGTCTTCTTCAGTTTATTTTTCATTCACATTCCCAGGGCATGCTCCTAGAGATTCTGACTCATTGAGTGACAGTCTATTCCTGCTGCTATATCAAAATAGCTTAAACTCGACACTTTGTAAACAAAAGAAATTTATTTCTCACAGTCCTAAAAGCTGGGAAGCCTAAGATTAAGGCATCAGCCGATTCAGAATCTGGTAAGGGTTCTCTCTGCTTCCAAGATGGTGCCCTTCCTGCCCCATCTTCACATAGCAGAAGGACAGAAATGTAGCAAATGCTGTGATCTCATAGGTTAAGAGAGATGGAAGGACCAGGCAGCTCTCTGAAGCCTCTTTTGTAAGGGCATTAATCCCATAACTAGGTCACAGCCCTTGTGACTTTATCACTTTCCAAAAGGCCCCACCTCTTACTACCACCGCAATGGGGATTAAGTTTTAACATGAATTTTGGAAGGAAACATTCAAACAATAGCAGTAGGCTATTCATTTGTTTAATGTCCAACTAATTCTAACATAATTTAGTAGAGAATCCCACCCTGATACATTCACCGAATGCCCTTAACTCTTTTCCTTTATCACATATCCAACCAACTTACCATGTTTTCTCTCAAATGTATTCTGTTTTTTCTATTCCTACTAAAACTATTCAAGTTCCTCCCTATGACCTTAAACTTTGACTAATGAAATACCCTGTCAACTGGTTCCTTTACCTCTCAGCTATCACTAATTCCACTCATCCTACTCTTGGCAATCACTGGATTAATTTGCTCACAGAGTAGCTCTGATCTTTTCCTTCCCTGTCGCTAAAATATTTTGGTAGCTGTTAAAAAGAATTATGCAATGATACTTGTCCAAGCATGATTGGGGAGAGATTTTTCAGGACCATCACCATAGGTGTAGGAACCACTGAAAATGGGATTTTGCTGGGGCGTGGGTGGGGGAGGGTAGGCAGACATTGGGCTCAACTCTGGATACGGCATGGGCAAGTAAGAATTTACAGCCAAGGAATGTGGGTGCTGGGGGAGCAGAAGATTTAACATTGCTCCAAGGAAACATCAGGGCAAGGGGGATTCTGGCTAAACTGATCTAGCAGGATTCTTGCTAAAGACAGGCCAGGGTGATCAATCATCACCTAGGGGACAGCAGGGGATGACGAACCTGGTCAGGTATCAAGGGTGATCAGATATAAAGGCCGGGGAGTTCTTGGTAAACTGACTTAACAGTGTTCTTTGCTAAAACTGGGTTTTACAAGGAAGTGCAGAAATGGGCCTAGGAGAAAGTTCAGAAGCCTAAATTTTGGTGACACAGAGAATCTTTGTCATAGCCTACAAGCTCAGTTCCATTTAAGGCTTTACATGTTGTGATCCAAGCCTTCTGATATTGTCCCAGATGAGCTGTCTCTCCTGCTTAGCCTTTTTTCTAATCTCCTCTAGTGATTTCCTCACTCATGGGATTGTATCATCTTACAGTTACTTCAAAGTCCACCTCCTTCCAGCCTCTTCCACGGGCAATTCATTTGCATACCTCTACTATATGCCTTCCTCAAAGATCATTCTCTGCTTCAAAAATCTTCAACATCTCAAATTGCCCTTAGAATAAAGTATAAATTTCCTAAGCTGATAATTAAGATCCTTTGCAATCTGTCTCCCATTTATATTCCCAACCTCATCTCCCACTAAAACTTTATAATTAGTCTTTGCTCACTGCCACCCAAACACTTTTCAAAATACCCTACTTTTGTTCTCACATTTTATTTTCTTCTGTGGAACATTAGATTCCCTTTTTGTCTGCCTACCCAAAGCCTCTTGTGTATAAGAGGGTATAAGCCCATCCCTGAACTATAACTTGTATTATAAGTTTTTCTTATTTATGAAACATTCCCAGACCACAGTAGCCTCCTCTGAACTCACAGTATTTACTGTCTTTGAATATTAAATACACATGGCCTTACCATATCTCTTGTAGTGCTCTTTGTATTGCTATTTAATCTTCCAGGTTAAAAAATGTCCTTTGTCTCAATTATCTGGGAATCCTAGGGAATGAAATCTTTCAGTTCAGATAATATAAATAACCTCAAGTCACTGCTAATGGCAACTGGCATAAATATATTATCTACATTTTAGTTGAAAGTTGAACTTATCACATATTAGTCATCAGGCAAGTATTATCTATTCAGATTCATTTCTGTAACATAATATAGACCTAGTCACTCCCTTTTCCTTCCTGTATAATTATCTCCTTATTTGTGATCTTCTCATTAGAATATTAGATGTTAATTTCTATACACAGGAAGTACAGTAGGAGACAATGTCTCTGCATTTAAAGAGATAATAAGTACCCTTGTCTCAGAATGTATGACTTTGTTGAACTTCTGTCATGTCTCTTTAAACTTACCTTCAATATCACTTTCTACTTATGTAATTGCCTTTTATAACCAAGGAACAAAGTCATGTCTAACACAAATGTAAATTTCAAACAATATAACACTTATTTCCAACCCAGACTGCAGTCGGATGTTCTAAAAGTCGAAGTTACGCTCCCAGTAATAATTATTTCTCTACAGCAAGGTCAGTGGTGAGATTAAGGCTTTTTGGGATTCTCCAGAGAAGACTAAGCAAGTGTAATTCTAATATGAGATCCAATGACTCTTGTGAAGTTAAACTTAATTTGATCATTAAGACATCAGAGAACTCATAAAATCTGATTAATTATGAGAAAATTGATTTTTTATCACTAACAATATGATTCAATTCCTTGGGCCAACTAAGGCATATAATCCACGGAGGCATACTCACCAAGTGTACTGTGGCCCTCACACAATGTTCTAAATTGTAACTTATACCAAAGGCCCAAAGGAAATTTGTTTTCCGTCTTTGCCATGATCACATTTAAGGTCTTTGCACAATATCTCAGCAACTAAATGGGCTTTGATATTTATAATTAACCAAATCTTTTACACATTGCTTTCTCAGTAAAAATTTACCTATATATTGAGATGATCTCTTTAATTTTCTCTTCCTAAACCATCTAACTATGGTAATTAAACCTCTTAAATCACACCAGGGCTGGATGTAGTGACTTATATTTGTGATCCCAGCACTTTCGGAGGCCAGGGTGGGAGGATTGCTTGAGCCCAGGAGTTCAAGACCAGCCTGGGCAACATAGTGAGACCCCCATCTTTACTCCCACCAAAAAAACAAAAATTAGCCAGGTGTGGTGGCATGTGCCCATATTCCTAGCTTCTCCAGAGGCTGAGGCTGGAGGATCACTTCTTGTGCCCAGGAGTTTGAGGCCACATGAGCCTGTTTCAAAAAAAAAGAATGACCACAAAAAAACTCATCTGTATATTAATTCCACACCAATCTCTAGGACTAAGCCTCTCCCTAGTACAGATTTTTTTTTTAACTTTAGAAATTTTCTGTTTCAGCATTAGGAGACAATAGTTGTTTTACCTTTCTGATATGGATAAATTACACTTTCAATCTGTCCATGTTCTTTTCCTGTTTTTCCAGATTCTTGGTGACTAGCCTTTGACCACTACTTGTCCTGACATCTTCTCTCTGGACATTCCTGATACCTCCTCTGGCCACTTGGAACTGAACAAAGTGGCTGTTATCTAGATTTCTGCCATTCACCTTCCCATATTCACTATACTATTTAGCAATGTTAGCTACTATAACAAAACAAAACAGGTAACAATCAAATCATGGCAGAATTTTATTTGTCATTCATTTAAGTTCCAAGGTAGGTGTTCCTAATCAGTGTGTAGCACTTCTCCAAACAGAGATTAGGGGACCAGGCTCCTTTTATTCTGTGAATCTACTGCTTCAACACATGCCTTCCAAGACAAAGCAGACAGTGGAAAAAGCCCACCTGCTTCTAAAGCTTCTTGGCATGTGAGTGACACTTATCACTCCTGGTCATATTCTCAGCCACTAAATGGGCTTTGATAATTTCTAACTAATAAAGTCTTTTACATATTGCTTTCCCAGTAAAAATGTAATTATATATTGAGATGATCTGATTTCCCCTCCTAAACCATCTAACTGTGGTACCAAACCTCTTAAAATTCACCATGGTCAGGCACAGTGGCTTATGTCTATAATTCCAGCCCTTTGGGAGGCCAAAGTAGGAGGATCACATGAGCCCAGCAGTTCAAGACCAACCTGGGTAACATAGTGAGACACCATCTCTAGCTACAACAACAACAAAAAAGCCCACCTACTTCTAAAGTTTCTTGGCATGGAAGTGACACTTATCACTTACGGTCATATTCACTGCAGAGAACTAGTCACATGGCCATATCTAGGTGCAAGGAAGGTGGGGAGTATGGTCTTTGGCAGGGCAGCTGTTGCTCTGCAACAATTCTACACGGAGAAAGGGAAGGCCCTAATTTTAGAAAATCTTTAGCCATTTCAGTTCCATTCCATTTATTCTTTTCTTTTGGATTTTGGATTGATCTGCTGAACTTACATCTGTTTTCCAAACTTCATAAATTTGTTTTTCCATCCAAAAATGGTTGAATATGAACCTTTTTTTTTTTTTTTTTTTGAGACCGAGTCTTGCTGTGTCGCCCAGGCCGACTGCAGTGGCGCGATCTCGGCTCACTGCAAGCTCCGCCTCCTGGGTTCACGCCATTCTCCTGCCTCAGCCTCCTGAGCAGCTGGGACTACAGGTGCCCACCACCACGCCCGGCTAATTTTTTGTATTTTTAGTAGAGACGGGGTTTCACCGTGTTAGCCAGGATGGTCTCAATCTCCTGACCTCGTGATCCGCCTGCCTCGGCCCCCGAAAGTGCTGGGATTACAGGGGTGAGCCACCGTGCCCAGCCATGAACCTCTTTTAAGCACCCTTTTCCCAGACTCTACCTATCAATTGTTCTACAACTATCAGTTGTCCTAAATGTCCAGCCTTGCCTGTCATTCCATGGTCTGGTATATCCTACTGTTTACCAAGCTGTTTAATTGAATGTATTTTATATGTTATATGTCATAGTTTAAGGAATGTGCTCACTAAGAATCATAAGAAAAATCATGCCCATAAAGCATTAAGAAAATAATTGCATGATATATGTACATTGGTAAATTTAATCTCATTAAAGCCAGAGAAATGTAGTAGAAAGTAGAACTAGAATGTAAACTTTCCAGTAACATATGCAGAAAAGCAGTACCGAGAAAAAGTAAATAGCAAAATAAAGGCAAGTGCACAAATTATTGAATTATCTAAACAGTGAAGAGAAAGACAGAAGATGACCGTAAGTGGACATTTTCAAGGTTATCCAAATGAAGTAAAATTACAATGATGTAAATATATCAGTAATTTAAAGAGTTGTGTAATGTTTTATTACTGATTTTATAGTACATTGAAATCTAGAATAAAAGCATAATCACATTTGTTATATATTTGTATTCAAATAGAAATACATGGGAGTGGGTGTTTGAGAGAGGAGGGAGAGAGAGAGGAAGAAAATGAGTTCTATGTGGAGCAAATATATAGGAAATGTGAATAAAAGGGAGGTTTAGCTTAGGCCTTAGGTTTTATCAATAAAAGACAATGAAGATCATTCAACTCCAGGGTCAAAGTGGAGTTATAGAGTGTTATTCACTATGTATCACCCATTCAGTAGCTCTTTATAAACCAGAAAATAAAAAGAAGTGATCAGGTTGAAGCAGGTCCAATTCCCACCATACACCAGGTTTCACAATTTCATTTTAAAGAATTACTAAGACATTACCTGAAAATAAGCATCAGGCCATGCGCAGTGGCTCACGCCTGTAATCCTAGCACTTTGGGAGGCTGAGGTAGGTGGATCACCTGAGGTCAGGAGTTGGAGACCAGCCTGGCCAACATGATGAAATCCTGTGTCTACTAAAATTACAAAAATTAGCCTGGTGTGGTGGCAGGTGCCTGTAATCCCAGCTACTCAGGAGGCTGAGGCAGGAGAATCGCTTGAACCTGGGAGGTGGAGGTTGCAGTGAGCCAAGATCCCGCCACTGTACTCCAGCCTGGGCAACAAGAGTGAAACTCCTTCTCCAAAAAAAAAAAAAAAAAAAAAAAGAAAAGAAAAAAGAAAAGCATCAGGAACTGCAAACATAAATCCCATGAGGAAATCTGCAATAACCACGTGGTAGACCGTTCATGCAAAAAAGGTAGAAAGAGGAAGGGGGAAGCAGCAAACCATAGCTGGCTTCAGCTCCCCAAGTGGTTGAGAAGATGCAAGTACTCCCCAAAGCAAATGCATGGGAAGTGGAGAGAATCCAGAAATTCCCTTCTCCCAGATGGCAAACATCATCATCCTCAACAACATAAATGGACTGTCCCCAGGCGACCAGAGCTATGGTCCTTCTTCTTCTTACCCATTATTTATACCAGACAAACATTCTTAATACAATTTTATTAAGGCTTCAATTAACAGAAATTATTATATTAAACATTAAGTTGGTAAAGTACAAATAGACCCTGAAAATAACCTGTATAATCCCAGTCTAATAAACCCATAGCCTTCATCTGCCATCTTTGATGCTCTTTTTCTTTACCTGGAACATGAGAACTTTATAGACATAATTTTCTCTATTCAGAAAATATCTTCGTGGGATTTCCTTTTACATTTACTTTTATCCTTAACAAAAATTTATATACATCATCAAGCTACAAAGGGAAATTCCCTTTACCTAGGGTGAGTCCTCACACATAGCACAAACACAGCCGGGAAACCTTGTAGCTACATGAACAACAATTTTTCTTCTCAAGCATCACTACCACAATTCCTGGTTGTTCCTGCACCTCTTCACCTTCTGTCTCCAGTCAGCCATGACCACAAAAACCCAATGTCTATGAGTCTAGCTCATGTTACAGACTCACCACCTAGGACTTCCATGTCACTGATGTTCTCTTTAAACTTGGATGAAACAACATAACTCAGTTCCCTCTTGCTTCTCTTTCCTACTATAACTTTTCCTTTATTCCTCTGGATGGCTTACCATTTCCATCAACTTTTTCCTTTGGCTTCCTTTATGAAAGGACAATTATTGGTGCCTAAACTCGTAAGAGTACCAAAAGGTTCTAATAGCTCATTTAAAATAAGAATTACCCAGAAGAAGTGCTCTTTGAGAAAATTCTATTTAAGCTAAAATGCATATTGTACATGCAGCATTTTTTTATATTTTATATTTACAAGCAATGAGCGGGATTAATCAAAGAGATAAGGCCAAGACATTTCTTATTTATCAAGTATGCACAAATAAATGGCATTCTTATTCATTAAAATTAAAGGTTTTAAATAGATCCTCCACTTGTAACTGAACCTTAACCAAGCAGGTCATAAAAGAAGCTGCAAGAATTCTGACGTTATATTCAATTTAAAGCTGCAAAGAAAGTAATTCGGTTAAATAGAAGCTCTGGCTTCAAAACAAGGATGAATAATCATTTTAAATAACGAAATGTCAATAGTTGCAGAAAATCGAGACTTAGTAAATAATAAACAGTGTTAGTCCCTCCATGAATTGTGGGCCAGTATTATAAATATTGAAATTCAACAGTTCATCACTGGAACTATCTTTCATTTTAGCTACTTTCATCTGGTGGTAAATAGAAATTTTATTTGTTGGATAAAGCTAGAAGAAAGAGAAACCTCTCTGCCCTTTCTTTTTCTTGATGAATTTGGCCCAGAATAAGAATACCAAATAATATGTTGACAGAGAAAATAACTTGGCATCCTGAAAGACCAAAAGATGTTACAAACATAATTATCTCAATGTCAGCACCACATGGTATACTGTTAGACTCAGTGGAGAAAAATCCCCTAAGATGTAAAATTTAAACAGGTGATCTTGCCAATAGAAAGATGGATCTGTGTATATCTTTGGAATGGCAAAGTTGTTTACCCTGTTTCTATTTTTTTGAGATTTTGAATTTATTCATCTATCATCTTTTATTTGACCATGCAGATGGATTCGATTTGTCTCCAATAATCTTGGCAAAGAATAAGGTCATTAGTACACGCTGACTGATTTTAAAAGTTCCTTACATAAATCTCATGCTTGCCAATAAAGTAGAAAAAAACAGCACCATAAAATGTGCAATTATTTTTACATTTATAGCAAGAAAGAGTTACCCGTGGTGTGTAAATATTTTTAAGTCTTATATTTTTCCTTGTAACAGAGCACATTGATGTTAGTCAGTGGGCTGAGTGGTCAATGCAGAATCTAAGTTGTAGACTGATCCATCTGTTGGTGAAAAAGCTGTCATGGGCCAGGCACAGTGGCTTATGCCTATAATCCCAGCACTTTGGGAGGCCGAGGCTGGTGGATCACCTGAGGTCGGGAG
The DNA here is from genome assembly GCF_000001405.40 of Homo sapiens. NCBI lineage: Eukaryota > Metazoa > Chordata > Mammalia > Primates > Hominidae > Homo > Homo sapiens. Next base: position 53,765,820 of record NC_000018.10, read on the forward strand.
TTCGAGACCAGCCTGACTAACATGGAGAAACCCCGTCTCTACTAAAAATACAAAATTAGCTGGGCATGGAGGCGCATGCCTGTAATCCCAGCTACTCGGGAGGCTGAGGTGGGAGAATCACTTGAACCCGGGAGGTAGAGGTTGCGGTGAGCCGAGATCACGCCAGTGTACTCCAGTCTGGGCAACAAAAGCAAAACTTCGTCTCAAAAAAAAAGAAAAGAAAAGAAAAGAAAAAGCTGTCATAGTCCACCAGGAAGCTCAGTGGCCATCATTAGTGGTACATTTTCTCAACATACCCAAATTCAATGTTAAAATATTTTTTAAGTCCCAGAATTATGAGAAGTTTTTTGTTCTTGTTTTCACTAATTTTATGGTTCGCTATGCAGTGATCCAAGTTTCCAAAATATATAAATATGTGTACAAATTAAGGTATTGCTCCTCTCCCCTCAGTAACAGCAAAGCTTAGGGGAAGGGTGTTTACAATCTCTACAGAGGCGCACTGGGCCCACCATACTCACTAGGCACAGGATAGTTGTGAAATAAATAGCTCACTCCAGGGAGTGAGAAGATACATCCCCCATTCAAGGTACACTGCCAAACTGCAGGAAAGAGATCCTAGCACCCACCAAGGTGCAACTATGCTACTGGATCTCTGGGTGGAAAGAAACAAGGAGGGAGTTACAGAGGAATAATGTGAGCAGCAGAACAGAGATTTTCATCCAAACATTATTTATGATGAATTTGGGGAAAATCAGATGAAAAATATATGGCCAAAGTGAATCAAAGAAGACACTAAAATTCTTATATTTTTATCATAATAGACAGTGCTGCACTGCACAAAACTTTGTCTTCATTCTATAACTCTTTTCCAAGTCTAGAAAAGAGTCTAGAAAAACTAGACTCATATCAACAAGCTTACTCTATTCATGCTTACAGCGAAAATGAGGGCCTCAAATTAGGAGGTCTTTCCTTTTAAGCCATTCTTCTAGAAGAATGCAGTCTAGAAGTTGTGAGCTGAGCTTTGGCCCCCTAAAATCTTCCAGAAATGAACCCACCTTATACCACAATCAAACCCTCGAGGTCATCAAATAGAGTAAAAGAAAAAAACAAAAACATCCAAAGGATAGCAACTTCAAAGATTGAAGGAACGTCAATCCAGAAAGATGAAAAAGAACCAACACAAGAACTCTCACCACTCAAAAAGCCAAGTGCCTTCTTTCCTTCAAATGACTGCACTACTTTTCTAGCAAGGGTCTGAACAAGGCTGAGATCACTAAAATGACAGAAAGAGAATTCAGAACATGGATAGGAACTAAGATCAGTGAGATGTAGGAGAACATTGTAACCCAAGACAAGGGAGCTTGTCACAATAAAATGATCCAAGAACTGACAAAGCAGCCAGTATAGAAAAGAATGTAACTGACCTGGATAAAGCTGGACATCACAATACAAGAATTTTATAATGCTATCGCCAAGTATTAATAGCAGAACACATCTAACTGAGGAAAGAATCTCAGAGCTTGAAGACTGGCTTTCTGAAATAAGATAGACAAAAATAGAGAAAAAAGAATAAAAAGGAATGAACAAAAGAAATATGAGATTGCATAAAGAGATAAAATCTGTGACTCATTGCTGTCCCTGATAAAAAATTAGGACAATGGAAGCAACTTGGAAAACAATTTCGGGATCTCATCCATGAGGACTTCCCCAACCTAGCTAGAGAGGCCAACGTTCAAATTCAGGAAATGCAAAGAACCCCAGTAAGATACTTCACAAGAAGATCATCCCCAAGACACATAATCCTCAGATTCTCCAAGGTCAAAACGAAAGAAAAAATGTTAAAGGTAGCTAGAGAAAGGAGAAGTCACCTACAAAGGGAAGTCCACCAGACTAACAGTGGACCTCTCAGCAGAAACCATACAAGCCAGAAGAGAAGGGGGCCTATATCCAACATTCTTAAAAAAAAGAAATTCCAACCAAGAATTTTATATCCAACCAAACTAAGCTTCATAAGCAAAGGGGAAATAAGATCCTTTTCAGAGAAGCAAATACTGAGGGAATTTGTTAGCAGCCGTCTTACAAGAGCTCCCGAAAGCACCAAATATGGAAAGTAAAGACCATTACTACCCACTACAAAAACTCACTGAAGTACACAGACCAGTAACACTATAAAGCAACTACACAAACTAGCGAGAAGAGTAAACAGCTAACAACATGATAACAGGATCAAATTCATTCATATCAATACTAATGTTAAATTTAAATGGGATAAATGACCCCAATTAAAAGGCACAGGGTGGAAAGCTGGATAAAGAATGCCCAGTGGTATGCTGTCTTCAAAAGACCCATCCCACATGCAATGAAACCCATAAGCTCAATATAAAGGGATGGAGAAAAATCTGCCAAGCAAATACAAAACAGAAAAAAAGTAGGAGTTGCAGTCCTAATTTTAGACAAAATGACATTAAACCAAAAAGGATTTAAAAAGACAAAAATAAGCATTACATAATGGTAAACAGTTCAATTCAACAAGAAGACCTAACCATTCTAAATATATATACAATACACCCAACACAGGAGCACCCAGATTCATAAAGCAAGTTCTTAGAGGCCTTCAAAGAGACTTAGACTCCCACACAATAGTAGTGAGAGACTTCAATATCCCACTGACAATATTAGACAGATCACTGAGATGGAAAATTAACAAAGGTATTCAGGACTTGAACTCAGCACTGGACCAAATGGACCTGATATACATCTACAGAACTCTCCACCCAAAAACAACAAAATACACATTTTTCTCATTGCCATATGACACAGAGTCTAAAATCAACCACACAGTCAGATGTAAAAAAATCCTCAGCAAATGCAAAATAACTGAAATCATACCAACCACTCTCTCAGACTATTTTAAAATTAATATGGAACCAAAAAGAGCCCAAAGAGCCACACCAATTCTAAGCAAAAAGAACAAAGCAGGAGGCATCACACTACCTGACTTCAAACTATACTACAGGGCTACAGTGAAAAAAACAGCATGGCACTGGTACAAACATTGACATATAGACCAATGGAACAGAATAGAGAACTCAGAGAAAAGACTGCACATCTACAACCATCTGATCTTTGACAAACCTGACAAAACAAGCAATGGGGCAAGGATTCTCTACTAAGTAAATGGTGATGGGATAACTGGATAGCCATACGAAGAAGGTCAAAAATGAACCCCTTTCTTATACTACATATTAATACAAAAATGAACTTGAGATGGCTTAAAGACTTTAAAAACTATAAAAATCCCGGAAGACAACTTAAGCAATACCATTCTGGACATAGGCATGGGCAAAGATGTCATAACAAAGAAGCCAAAAGCAATTGCAACAAAAGCAAAAATTGACAAATGGGATATAGTTAAACTAAAGAGCTTCTGCACAACCAAAGATACTACCAAGAGTAAGCAGAGAACCCGCAGAATGGGAGAAAAATTTTGCAAACTATGCTTCTGACAAAAGTCAAATATCCAGCATCCATAAGGAATTTAAACACATCTACAAGACAAAAAGACCCATTAAAAAGTGGGCAAAGGACATGAACACATACTTTTCAAAAGAAGACATACGTGTTGCCAACCAGCATATGGAAAAAAGCTGAACATCACTGATCATTAGAGAAATGCAAATCAAAACCACAATGAGATACTATCTCACATCAGTCAGAATGGCTATTACTAAAAAGTCAAAAAAAAAAAAAAAAAACAGATGCTGGTGAAGTTGTAGAGAAAAGGGAATGCTTATACACTGTTGGTGGGAATATAAATTAGTTCAACCATTATGGAAGACACTGGTGATTCCTCAAAGATCTGAAAACAGAACCACCATTCTACCTAGCAATCCCATTACTGGGTATATACCCAAAGGAATATAAATCATTCTATCATAAAGACACATGCATGTGTGTTCAGTGCAGCACTATTCACAATAGCAAAGACATGAAATCAACCTAAACATCCATCAATGGTAGACTGGATAAAGAAAATGTGATATATATATATATATATATATATACCATGAAAGAATATGCATCCATAAAAAAGAGTAAGATCACATCCTTTGCAAGAGCATGGATGGAGCTAGAGACCATTATCCTTAGCAAACTAACACAGGAACAGAAAACCAAATACCTCATGTTCTTACTTACAAGTGGGAGCTAAATGATGAGAACACATGGACACATAGAGGGGACCAATAGACACTAAAGCCTACTGGAGGCTGGAGGGTGGGAGGAGGGAGAGGATCAGGAAGAATAACTAATGGGTACTAGGCTAAATACCTGGGTAATGAAATAATGTGTACAACAAACCCCCATGACACAAGTTTACTTATATAACAAACTGCCCATGTACCCATGAATGTAAAAGATAACAAAAAAAGAAATGATAAATGTTTGAGGTTGTGGGTATCCTAAATATCCTTATCTGATCATTATTCATTGTGTGCATGTATCAAAATATTACATGTGCCCCCTAAATATGTACAATTATAAAAAAAGAAAAATGAAGACAAAGAAACCATCAATGAAATACTAACAACAAAAATCCAAAAATGAAGAGCAAGCATGGACCTAAAAAATTCTCAGCAGAGTGGATATAATTAGAAGACACAAAAGCTCATTACTGTGAAATTTCAGAATATTGGGGAGAAGAGATTATGTAAGCTTTTAGAGAAACAGGAAAAGCAGTATAACACAAGGATCAAGCTTCAAAATATTATTGTACTTCTCCACAGTGCTCCTGAAAGTCATGAAAATTTAGAATTGCCTCCAAAATTCTGTGAAAAAAATGATTTTTAATCTAGAACTTTTTTTTGCCCAAGACAGATGCTTAAATATGGTAGAGAATAGAATAAGAGTGTTTTGAGCCCTGTAAGAGCTCTAAACATGTATTTCCCATGCATGAATTTTCAGAAAAATATTGAAAGATATCCTTTACCAAAATGTGAAAGTAAACTAAAAATTTAAAATATGGGATCCAGGAAGCAGAGAATCTATCACCAAAGATAGGCCAAGGGAATAGCTAGGCTGATAGTGAAAGGAAATCTCCAAATGGCAGCTGTACAGCATGTCTAGAAATCAATCAATTCAGACAGGTGCAGATATAAAAGCTTTAGGCAAGACATTTTTCCCAATACAGTAAAGTTTTGTTTTAATATACTGTTTTAATATGTTAGTGTTGATTACATCAAAAACTAGGTAAACAATTATTAAGTCTGGGAAGGAAAAGGATGTCGCACAGGAAAGAAAAGTAATCAAATTATATTACAAGGCTTATCCAGGTATACAGTTCACCTATCTAAACACTGCATATTATTATAAATATTTACTGAATCATTATATAAATATACCAAGAGTATATGGGCCATGGGCAGGAAATATACATGTTTGAATCAGGGAGCAAAGGGTTAAAAGAAAGCTAAATTCTTATTGTCCATAGTTGGATGTAAACAGACAATGCCTAAAACCAATAAATCCAGAGTAGCAATACATGCATGTTATTCAGAAGTTCAGAGGTAAATATCAAATAAATCAAACAAAAGAACTGAAAGTAATTGCTTTGGGAATTGGGAAATGATGGGATCAGGGAAGTGATGATTTTCATATCAAGCCTTGGAGAAACATGATATTTAGTTGTATAATTTTGAATAAAAAGCAGAGTAACAACAAATAGTTACCTTTGGAAGTTCATGCTGTGCCTGTATTTCAACTTTAATTTCTAGTTACAAATACTGCTGTAAGTGTGGCAAATGTGCCTTTAAAATATTTCCATTCATTCTTTTGTGGTCATTAAATTAATGATCACTTTTATTTGTCACCTGTTTTCTGTTTATATTTTCTTGGACAATCACTGCTCATATGATATACAAGGAGTCAAATAACAAATGAATGTCCAGTAACAGATTGTATTTCAGTGGAGAATCTGGCTGATAAAGGGAACAAGTGCACCAATAAAACTACATGCCCTGGCAACTGTTCCAGATCTCAAGATCAAGCAAATGTACCATCCTATCTTTGAGTCTACCTCCCAGATCAAATTGCATGCACTAAATGGTCAGAGAGTTATAACTATCCTGGGGGAAATTACTGACAAAAGTAAATAAATTCCATATGGTGTGGGCCAAATTATTGTAGAAAGCTTATTGGTGGCACAATGGTTTCTTCCATTTGTTTATATTAGGATCTGATTTCTTAAATCCATGAAGATAATTTAATTTCTTAAACCTAGATAAAAGACAGAAAATGGAAGAAGGCGGTCCAAGGCCCAGGAGAAATTTATTTGTCTTTTTCTAACTCATTGTCAATACTGTCTCACTTTAAAGCAATGTGTTTTTGATTCTCATGTTTGGATGGCATTTCTGCTTAGGGAATCACTCACATTTTGATCTTTCATTCCTTTTGGGACAGCTAGTGAAAAGTGCTTTTATAAGTTACAGTTCTGACCTTTTCAGGATTCTGTTATTTGATTAAAAAGCATCAGAGGTCTGCTGTCTGGCAGGGTTTATTGCCTGTAACAAAGCAATCAGAAATGCAACCAAAGAGTAATTTGTAAGGGGTTATGGATCCATTCACAACAAATATTTATTGTTACTGGTGCAACTGCACACTGAAAATGAAATACGCCAGAGATATGTTTGTCTTCCTCTCTTGGGGCCCATGACACTCAACTATACTGTAGGTGAAAACAATTTATAAAGACGGCATTTGGCTCCTTGAAAGATTCAAAACCCTTGAATGAGATCCAAGTGAAACCTTGTTTACTAACCTCTCTCCAGGGGAAGTGTGGTATGGCATATGTGAGTATTGCTCATTCTAACACCTTTATTCTCTTAAACAATGTGGTCTGAAGGTGCATGGAGGTCTCTGAAACCTTTTCAGGTGATCCACGAGGTCAAAAACATTTTCATAGTAATATCAAATTATTATTTTTTCACTGTGTTGCCATTTGCACTGATGGTGCAAAAATAATGTTGGGTAAAACTTCAGTGCCTGAGCATAAAGTAGTGGAGTGGAGTAGTAGAGCAAACAAATCTGCTGTAGTTTATGTTTAAAACAACAGCTTTACAGAGATATAATTCACATACAATTCACTCAGTTAAGTGTACAATGCAATGGTTTTTAGTATATTCACAAATATGTGCAACCATCACCACAACCAATTTAGAACATTTTTCATTGCCTCTAAAAGAAACCATGCAACCTTTAGGTATCACTGCCCTAAACCCTCCAGTCCATCCCACTCCACTAATCTGCCTTTTGTCTCTATAGACTCTGGACATGTCATATAAATAGAATCATATGTGATTTTTTTACTGTCTTTTTTCACTTAGCATAATGTTTTCAAGTTTCATCCAATTGTAATATATAGCTATACTTTGTCCATTTTTAGGAGCAGATAACATTTTATTGTATGGGTAAATTACATTTGTGTTTACCCATTACTTCATTGATGAACAGTTGGAGTTGTTTTTGCCTTTCGGCAGTCATGAATAATGTTGCTATAAACATTTGGGCAGAGATTTTTGTGTGGATGTATGTTTTCCTTTCTCTTAGGTATATACCTAGGAATGGATATGCTGAGTTATTTGTAAGTATGTTTAATCACTTGAAAAACTTCCAGAGATACATCTTTCTACACATGCCTTTTCACTTTATCCTTCGGATTTCATTAATAACTAAGGATATTCATTTTATTGTAATGCACTAAAATACGGGCATGTCATTTCTAATCTCATTAAGAATAACATCTTTTAACAAATAACATTTACTCTTTTTGGCTTCCATTTATTTTTATTGATACATAATAGACGTACATATTTTGGGGTTATGCATAATATATTCATATAATGGATAAAGATCAAATCAGCATAATTGGGCTATCATCTTGAATTTTTTTTTTTTTTTTTTTTTTTGAGATGGAGTTTCACTTGTCGCCCAGGCTGGATTGCAATGGCGTGATCTCAGCTCACTGCAACCCCCGCCTCCCAGATATAAGCTATCCTCCTGCCTCAGCCTCCTGAGTAGCTGGGATTACAGGCTCCTGCCAAGACGCCTGGCTAATTTTTGTATTTTTAGTAGAGACGGGGTTCCACCATGTTGGCCAGGTTGAACTGCTGACCTCAGATGATCCACCGGCCTCCGCCTCCCAAAGTGCTAGGATTACAGGCATGAGCCACCGTGCCAGGCCAAATATTTGTATTTCCTTTATGCTACATTCTCTTTATTATCTTCCAGCTAGTTCGAAATGTACATTATTGTAAACTATATTCACCCTACTGATCTATAGAACACTGTTTTTTAAATCTGACTGTATATTTGTACCTATTAATCAACCTCTTTTCATCTCCCAAACCCCTTAACTTTTCTGGCCTCTGGTAGTGACAAATCTACTCTCTATCTTCATGAGATCTACTTTCTTTTAGCTCCTATATATGAATGAGAATATGCAATATTTGTACTTTTATCTTTGGCTTATTTTACTTAACATGATGACCTCCAGTTTTATCCAGGTTGCTGCAAATAACAGGATTTCATTCCTTTTATGGATTTCATTATTTCTCATTCTTATTTATTCTATTACGTATATATACCACATTCTCTTTATTCATTCATCCATTGATGGAACTTAGGTTGAGTCTTTGTCTATGGTAAATAGTGCTGCAATAAATATGGGTGTGCGTATGTCTCTTCAATATACTGATTTCCTTTCTTTTGAATATATGCCCAGTAGCGGAATTGCTGGATCAAATGGTAGTTCTATTTTTAGTGTTTTCAGGAACCTTCATACTGCTTTCCTTAGTGACTGTATTAATTCACATTCCCACCAATAGTGTATGAGGGGTTCCTCTTTCTCCATATCCTTGCCAGCACCCGTTATTCCCTGTCTTTTTGATAAAAATCATTTTAACTGTGGTAAGATGAAAGCTTATTATTGTGGTTTGGATTTGCATTTCTCTGATGATTAGTGATTTTGAGCATTTTTTATATACTTGTTTTCCGATTTGTATGTGGTTTTTTTTTCTTTTTGAGAAACGTCTATTCCGATCTCTTGCCCATTTCTTACTCAGATTGTTATTTATTTATTTATTGACATCAAGTTGTTTGAGCTCCTTATCTATTCTGGTTATTTATCTCTTCTCAGATGGATAGTTTTAAATATTTTCTCTTATTCTCTGGATTGTCTGTTCACTTTGTTGATTGTTTCTTTTGTCATGCAAAGATTTTTGGCCAGGCGTGGTGGCTCATACCTGTAATCCTAGCACTCTGGGAGGCCAAGGCTAGTGGATTGCCTGAGCTCAGAAGTTCGAGACCAACCCCAGGCAACATGGTGAAACCCTGTCTCTACTAAAATAGAAAAAATTAGCTGGGCATGGCAGCGTGCACCTGTAATCCCAGCTACTCGGGAGGCTGAGGCAGGAGAATTGCTAGAACCCCGGAGGTGGAGGTTGCAGTGAGCTGAGATCACACCACTACACTCCAGCCTGGGTGACAGAGTGAGACTCTGTCTCCAAAAAAAAAAAAAAAAAAAAGATTTTTGACTTGATTTAATTCCATTTGTCTATTTTTGCTTTGCTTTGATTGCCTGTGCTCTTGTGCTCTTGGGGTCTTACACAAAAAAATTTTGCCCAGCCCAATGTTCTGGAACATTTCCCAGTGTTTCTTTTAGTAGTTTCATAGTTTCAGGTCTTACATTTAAGTCTTTAATTCATTTTGATTTGACTTTTGTATATGGTGAGAGATAGAGATCTAGTTTTATTCTTCTGCATATGGTTATCCATTTTTCCCAGCACCACTTATTGAAGAGATTTCCTTTCCCCAGTGCATGTTATGGGCACCTTGTCAAAAATAAGTTAGCTGCAAATGAATCAATGTATATCTGGGTTCTCTATTCTGTTCCACTGGTCTATGGGTGTGTTTTTATGCTACTACCATGCTGTTTTGATTACTACAGCTTTGTAGTAAATTTTGAAGTTGGGTCATATCATGACTTCAGCTTTGTTCTTTTTGCTCAGGATCGCTCCAGCTATTCAAAGTCTTTGTGATTCCACATGAATCTTAGGATTATTTTTCTATTTCTGTGAAGAATGTCATTGCTATTTTGATAAAAATTACAATACATCTGTAAATCACTTCAAGTACTATCATTTTAACAATATTAATTTTCCAATCCATGATCATGGAATACCTTTCCATTATGTGTGTGTGTCCACTTCAATTTCTTTAATCAGTGTTTTATAGATTTCCTCGAATAGCTCTTTCCCGTCTTTGGTTAAATTGATTTATAGGTATTTTATATTCTTTGTAGATATTATAAATTGCTTTCTTGATTTCTTTTTCAGATTGTTTACTGTCAGTGTACATAAATGCTACCGATTTTTCTATGATGATTTTGTATCCTGCAAGTCTACTGAATTTGTATCCTGCAAGTCTGCTGAATTTGTTGATCCGTTCTAATAGTGTTTTTGTGGAGTCTTTAGGTTTTTCTGGGTATAAGATCATGTTGTCAGCAAACAAGGCTAGTATGACTTTTTCCTTTCCAATTTGGATGCCTTTAATCTCTTTCTCTTGACTAACTGCTCTGCCCAGGACTTCAATTGTTATATTCAATAAAAGTGGTGAAAGTGGGCATCCTTGTTTTATTTCAGCATTTAGAGGAAAGGCATTCAATTTTTCCCCATTCAGTATGATGTTAGCTCTTCGTTTTTCATATATGGCCTTTATTATTTTGAGGTATGAACCTTCATACTCAGTTTGTTGAGGGCTTTTATCATTAAGGGATGTTGAATTTTATCAAATGCTGTTTCAGAATCTATTGAAATGATCATGTGGTTTTTGTTCTTGGTTTTATTAATTTGATGTAACATGTTTACTAATTTGTGTATGTTGAACTATCCTTGCATCCCTGGGATGAGTTCCACTTGATCATGAAGAATGATCTTTTTAATGTGTTATTGAATTCAGTTTGCTTGTATTTTGTTCAGGACTTTTGCATCTATGTTCATCACTGATATTGGCCTCACATTTTCTTTTTGTGGTATGTCCTTGTCTGGTTTGGGTACCAGGGTAATTCTGGCCTCATAGAATGAGTTTGGAAGTATTCCCTCCTCTTCAATTTTTTTTGAAGTGTCTGAATAGAATTGGTATGAGTTCTTCTTTAAATGTTTGGTAAAATTCAGCAATGAAGGCATCAAATACCGGGGTCTTCTTTGATGAGAGACATTTTATTACAGCTTCAATCTCACTAGTCGTTATTGGTTTGTCCAAGTTTTCTATTTCTTCATGGTTCAATCTTGGCAGGTTGTATGTATCCAGGAATTTATGCATTTATTCTAGGTTTTCCAATTTGTTGATGAATAGTTGTTTATAATAGTGTCTAATGATTCTTTGTATTTCTGTGATCTCAGTTCATGTCTTCTTTTTGTTTTGATTTTATGTGTTTTTCTCTTAGTCTAGTTAACATTTTATCAATTTTATCTTTTCAAAAATCCAGCTGTTCCTTTCATTGGTTTGTGTTTTTTTAATTGATTTCTGCTCTGATATTTATTATTACCTTCCTTTTAGTAATTTTGGGTTTGGTATGTTCTTGCTTTTCAAGTTCCTTGAGGTCCATTATTAGGTTGCTTATTTGAAGTCCTTCTACTTTTCTGATGTAGGTGTTTATTGCTATAGACTTCCCTCCTGGTACTCCTTTTACTGTATTTCATAGATTTTGGTATGTGGTACTCCCATTTTCATTTGTTTCGAGAAACTTTTTAATTTCCCTCTTAATTTCCTCATTTACCCATTGGTCATTCAGGAACATGGCTTCCTTTTTGAATCCCATGCCCATATCCTCTTAATTCATGAAATATACATAATGACACTGGGAATTCATTTTTAAGAGGAGTACTTCATATTTTTCATCTATTACTTTATAAAGTTAAAGAAAATAGTCGATTATATGTTTCTTAAGCCCATTATTAATATTTGGGTATATAATAAGGTATTGTTTTCTAAAAATTCTATAAACAAGTTAAATAAGACAGTACTCTAAAAAATAAAATGTGAAGTCCACCCATATTGTAAGAATTTGCAGGGTTTTTTTAAGAAATTAAAATTTAAAAATCAGCCTATGCCCTAAACATAGAGATGGTCATTAGTTGCCAAAGAGATTATTTCAATCAAATAGTCTATGAACACCTACAGGCAAAGTCAGGTTGCATCTAATTTTATTAACAAGTATTAATTTACTGCATTAACCAAGATATTAACAAACCCAAATAAGGGCCTGAGGAAGTACTAGAAAATCTTCAGTAATACATTAAGAAAACACTATGCTGCCAGGCACGGTGGCTCAGGCCTGTAATCCCAGCACTTTGGGAGGCCCAGACAGGTGGATCATGAGGTCAAGAGATCAAGACCATCCTGGCCAACATAGTGAAACCCCAACTCTACTAAAAATACAAAAATTAGCTGGGCACGGTGGCACGCGCCTATAGTCCCAGCTACTCAGGAGGCTGAGGTAGGAGAATCGCTTGAACCTGGGAGGCGGATGCCATGAGCCGAGATCGCACCACTGCACTCCAGCCTGGTGACAGAGCAAGACTCTGTCTCAAAAAAAAAAAAGAAAAGAAAACACTATGCAAATACAGAACTTTGCCAAAAGTGCTCAAAAAGTCTTGTTGAAGGGTGTTATAAAGTTTTGCTTCCTCGTCTTAACCTAGAGCACAAAGATATAGACAGCGATGATGTTCCAAATATTTAACAGCCAATAGAGCATAAGTATCAACCAATCACAATAAGCACTCACCATTATCCTGGAGCAGAGCCCTCCAAGTGCCCAGGTTCTACCAAGGGTTAACCCTTTAATTGCTGGAGTGTGTGACCTTCCAGGGAGTCCAGTTGGAGGGGCCAGGGCAGCCAGCATGGCAAGGGGGCATTAGTTTAGCTAGGGATAGAGGCTTTTATTTCTCTTTCAGCAAAATATAAGTGGTTACTTCTATATTTTAATGAAGAGTAGGATCCTAGCAGGTAAACTTTCTGAATTTTGGATACAGTAGTTACGAAGTTAGCAATTTTATAGAATTATATGCAATGGTCTCTGCATAAATAAATGTACTTTTTAGGAGATAGTACATAGCTTCATCAGATTTTCAGAGATGTCTTTTACTCAAAAATTAAGAACCAGTAAGATATTCCTTCATCTAGGATGGCTGATATTTTTTAAATCCACATTTTTCTGAATGTGTAGTCACCAAAGAAACATCCTGATTAGATCTGACTTTTTGAACAGTTTGAGTATAGGTGGAGAATGAGCTGATCTTGTTTATGTGATTATATTCTTGGTGAAAGTCAGTATAATGCTGTTTTGGTGTCTATTCCAGTCTCTTTTATCTTTTGGTTAGTATCTATATTTCCAGGAAATAATAAATTCCAGCTTCTGAGCCATCAACATTGAGGATCTGTCCTGGTATGAATATGTAGAATAAATTCTGGCCCAATTTTAGTACACTTTCCATAAAACAAAATTACACAAACTGATTATTGTGCAGCAAGAATATTGTTAACAAGAACACGATCAATCTGTAGAAATCAGCTATTTATATTCCCAAACTTTTCTTTTGGATTAGCTGTTTGTCCTGGTCTTTCAATGGAAAAAGAATTAACAACCCGAAACTCCTGTCTGAATATTTCTATCAACTTCCTCTGGGAAATCCTGACTCTTCTTGAAGATACAGCTTTCTCTAGAGCACACTGGTATATTTGGTCCTCCTATTCTCTCTCTGTTTCCCACCCCTCCTCTCTCCTACATTGCCTCTGGTCCTGAAAAAATATAGTAAGACATCCTTATCACAGATCCTTTCAGCCTCTTGTTTCAGACTACCTCAACTACAACCCCTTCTCCTTGTTACAACTGTGTGGGCCTATCACCGGTGCCCATTAATTGGAGATTTTAGTATTTTGTCCACTGCCAATGTCTCCAATGCTACTTCTACCACTTTCTGTCTAGATAATCTCATCTAGTCTCATGGCTTTAAGTACTATCATCTATATGCTGAGCACTGCAAAATTTATATTTCTCTGGGCCTGATAACCTTCCTCAACTCCAAATTCTTAGTTGACATCTTCCCATGGACATCTAATAGGCATCTGAAACTCAACAAGTCCAAAAGATACCCCTTAATTTCCACCCCCAACCTGCTTTGCCCTGGAATTCTTCATTTTATTCCACACACTTTGGAATCACATTTAGCCCCTTCCTTTGATTCACTTCCCACATTCCATCTTTCTAGAATTTTTTAGGCTCAACATTTGTCTCAAATTTGATCACTTCTCACCATATCCCTGCCACCAGCCTAGCTTAAGTGACCATAATTGTTGTACTTAGACTATTGCTAGTTCATGCATCCACTCTTAACCACCTCTAATCTATTTTCCACATTGCAAACAGACCATGACCCTCATAAAATTGGCTTTCCTCCTTACCCTAATCTCCAAGACACCACATAATGGTATCCCTGACAACTCCTTGTCCTAATTATCCCTTATTTAAACTCACTCAGCTTCAACCATGTTGTTCCCTTGCTGTTTTTCAAACATTCTGCTCTATACCCCCATGAGGATCTTTGCCCTTGTTATTTTCCAACTCAAAATATCCTTTCCTCAGATACTTGCTTTCTATTTCTTCAAACACTTCATCACCACTTGACTTATTTAAATATGTATTTATTTGATGTGTTCCACCTTAGAATGTAAGTTGATGAGAGAAGGAACATCTGGATTTTTCCTTGTTCTGCTACTACCCCAAATCCTGTAAGACTATCTGGTATATAGTAACTATTCCATAATGCTTATTAAATCAACGAGTTGATGAATCAATCACAAATGTAATTGGCTTCCTCTGCCTTCAATTTTCATTTAGTAGCATGTAGAAACAGGCTTTAGAATAGCAATATAGACAACAAGCACTTTTTAAGGAAGCAAGAAATATGACCCATTACATGTGGACTTGGCTAGAAATAATTGAGAAATGGAATACTTCCTTAAGGAAACTGAAGAACTAAACTATGACATAAACTTTAGATGTTTCAGTTTCAGAGTCATGATTTCCTGGTGTTTAGTTTTAGGTTTGTGCTCTCAAAGATCAATCAGAAAGGAAACTAAAGAATTACAATAGTGAGTTTAATCCAAACAAAGATGTGTTGAAGAAATTTCTTTAGTGATGTCTGCTGACCACTGAAAGACCACCATAATAAAATGGTGGAATGCACTTTAAAATAGCATCACTGAGTAGTAAAAAGAGTTCTAGAATAGAATTTGTCTCAGCTCCACTGCTAATAAGCTGTGTAACTTTGAATTAAATATTAAATTTAAATAGTTTTCAGAAAATATTTGCCTGTCAAATGAGAGTATAGGCCTATGTAATCTCTATGGTTTCTTAATACTTTTCTGCGAAACAAAACACTAGGAGATAATCTTAACAGCCATAATGTTAAATGTGATCCTCTTATGTTTAAAGAAATGAGGTCATTGGGAATCAATGACTTCTGATTTTAAAATAACACATAAACCAGTCAATTTAATTGAAATAGACTTATTAAAATTATTGTTCTTGGTGATACTAATAAGAGGGTAGGTGACCAGGTATTTCATCAAGGTATTTCATGGAGGAGTGGTAATTCAGGTTTGTTTTTTTTTAAACTCTCTACTGATAATTTGCCGTGTAGACATAGGCCACATAAAACTGGCTTCAGTTAATCAAGTGGCTTTAAAACAGTTCAGTCTGATGTGCAGGTAACAGGTCCATCAATTAGAGGTCAATTAGATACAGTTACCTCAAAGTTAATTCCATAATCAGACTAAGATGACCAAAATAGAGAAGTTGAATAAAGTCTATTTATAATAGAGCATGAATACTTAAAAGCAAACAACTTCCAATTTGGAATATCAAGACTTGTCTTACCTCTACAGATACAGAGAAAGAAAAAACTGCTTCCTGAGGGGATTCAGATGACAAACAAATCCTCTCCCCGTCGAATAATGTTCCATTTTTGCAAACTCATATTGTGGTAGATACACTGCCATCACCACAGACCAAAAATCCAACCAATTTTAAGCAAGACTGGCCCATCCTTCTCCTTTACACAAATGATCACTCAGACATTACTTTCCCTGTAAATATCTGTGCCAAGAAAATGTCTTTCCTGAAAGCAACATTTTTTAAAATTAATAACCATTTCTTCTGACACACAAAAATCAATGGGTCCCATTTGGTGCCTGAGGTATCACACTGACAAATAAAGGGCAGACCCCAAATGCATACTTTTCACCATCTGCCTGGAGCTTCAAGCATGCCAGGTTTGAGCAGCTTTAGATTGTTTCATTCAGTGAATTTGCTGTGAAGTAAATTCAGCCCTTGGCAGTTTTTTCTTTTCATCACCCCAGCACAGCTAGGTTTGTTGTTGTTGTTGTCCCTGGTTTTTTCACTCTGAGAATTCTAATTATAGTCACAACAACAAAGCAATTCATATATTTGTATCACCTCCTAGATTTTCATTTCTCACCATCAACACTAATCAGTATTCTAGTCTGTTAAAAATGGCACATTTTACAGATAATCACCTTCATAAAAGCTGTCAGGTAAGTATATCATTAGCACTGAATGTGTAAGGTTCTTCAGCCTCAAATACCAAAACCAGAGACATTTTCTGAAGGTTGCCTTTGGGAAGAAAATTTATTAGAACACTGACATATCCTCACTATTTTTAAAGAGATAGTCCAGTAAAATGTTCTTGAGTCATCAATCCAGTACCTGGCACAAAAATGCATATAAAACTGGAAGTTGAAGCTGTTGAGACTGTACTACAACTTCAGAAAGCAAGAATGAGGTCATAACTTGCTGTCGCTTCTTTCCCTCTTCACCTCTCTGGCAAAGAATTTAGGATCTTAAGTCATACTGCTGACTCTGTCTACTCAGGAAACCCTCAGAGGATTGTGTCAGTTTTCAATAATGAAGCAATGACTAGTAGTACAATGAAAGAGTGAATGAGCCTTCCTATATCTTATGAAAAGTGATTCTGATACTGAAGACCAGGATAGAATCTTCACTTCTGAAACTACCAATAGTAATTCACGTGTTAAAATCATCACCATCATCATCACTATCACCATCCTCATTGCTGCCATTTATTCTGTCTACTAAAGTAAGGGAAAGCACTATGTTAAAAGCTTTTACATATATGCCACAGTTCATTTGCAAAGATGGTCTCAATAATTTCTCCCATGTCTATGGGCAGGTCTTTTTGCAGTGTGACTTTGCCACTCTTTCTGTCAAGAAGTAGAGTTTATTTTCCATCCTCTTGCATCTAGTCTGGTCTTGTACTTGTTTTATCAAGTAAAATGTGGTAGAAGTGACTAGGGGATTCCTGAGCTTCAGTCACATGAGGCCTTGCAGATTTTGCAGCTTGAACTCTTGCCCTCTTGCTGCCCTGAGACCACCATACAGAAAGCCAGTGCTGGTTTCTTAGCAGATAAGAGACTGTGTGGAAGAGAGAGAGAGAGAGAAACAGAGAGAGGTAAAAAATCATCAGTCATTAAAATGAGGCCATCATGGACTATCCAGCCCCAGTGAAGACACGAGATGATAGCAGGCACGTAAATGACCACAGGTAAGACCACCAGGAAAAACACCAACGCAATCCCAGCCCAAATTTCCAATTCACAAAAAGATAAGCAAAAATAATGATGTTTGTTTTAAGCTACTAAATTCTGGTTTGTACACCGTAATAGTTAACAAAAATGCATCTATTTTCTGTTTGAATCTTCAATAGAACCTTGTGCTCTTTCCAGAACATCCACCACACTGCCTCTAGTGTCAGTCTGCCAACTGTTTACTAGATACTTGAGTGTCCCACTTGATATGATGCACTTATTTGGTCAAAAGAAAATATGAGATACTAACTTCAAGAAAATGAACAGGGGGAATGATTAATTAACATGAAACAGAAAGTCATACTTAAAAGTTATAATTTCTCTCCTGTCTTGGCTGGGAAGGAGTGAGGAAATTGATCTAGAGGTCATTCTCTGCAGTTACAATTTGCCCAGATATGGGTCAGAAAGTAGGAGGTCAGGGAGAGGCTCAAAGTTTATGGGTTTTCATATCACCATTACCACTTCAAATGTCCAAAGCCCATTCTCCTTTTCCAGGTGTTTCAAGGACTCTGGTCTGTTGAAAGGGTGGTTGTCTGCATAGAGAGATTTATATATAGGCCAAGTAGTTCTGAAGCCAAGATTGTGCTTCCTGCTGAATGGTCACTGGACCTGCTGGCTGCAGTCCTCACCGTTAACATTGAGAATGACAACATGGCCCCTTGACACAGGTGATTTAACAGTATAGAGTTGAGACAGTTCCACCCAATTACAGACTAGATGATCTAGGTTTGGACTAATCTCTCTCACAGGGTGAAATAACTGCTTCACATATTGCTCCAAATCTTTTCTGGAATCAACATTTAAATCTCAAGTAAAATGAATTTGACATTTCTGCTCTAAGTTTCTACTGTGATGAACTCGCCCTAAGGCAATGGATATCTACATATCTGGCAGGGAGAAGAAGTTCAACAATAAGAAAAGAGAAGAGTACAGCTTTCAAAACTTATCCTGTCACATGGTATATGGTCTAGGGCTACTTGGAGGAATGTGGGCTCAAGAAGAATTCAGAGAAATCCTAGACCATCATTGAAGGTCAAAAGAATCAGGAAAAGCTTAAAGGAGAAGGTGGGACATCAACTAGTCCATCATAAGCTATTTAAATTACCAAAATAGAATTAGCATTAACAGAACTGTCATGGTGACATTAGCAGTATTTGGTTGGATGTGGACAATTATTGAGCTCATTCTGAAACATAAACCAGGTTATATTAATTTCTAAATAAAGCAACAGTAATAATCCTAATAATTCACAGTTATTTTTATTCCATTCATGGACAAAGCAGTTTATGTATATTATTTCATTGGATAAATAATAGTATTAACTGAAAGTCATTATTGTAAGAGGCAGTTTTATCATTCATGCACACTATAACCAGCCAGATGTACTATTTGGTTCTTTTTTGAAATAGTAGGTTGTTTTGCTTTGATTTTGTTTTCTGCTTCATGCCCATACATGCTAAATAGTGAGTCTGAGGTGTACAAGGACAGCAAAAACTATTTACCTCCTGAGAGTCTGTGAAATCTCTCATTTTTTAGTCTCCTCACAATTGGAAAATATTGTTTTTCCTTTATAGGTGTCAATGAACCTAAACACGTGAATGTGCCATTTTAAAACATTTCTGAACTTTTCTCACCGTACTTGTCACTGCTGACTCACTGGGACAAGAGGACGTCTTGCAATATATTCCTGTCTCTTCCCCCTTTAGATCTCCTGATGCTTGTTTTCTCTTACTTGGCTCACCTTCTGAGCATATTAGCTTTACTTCTTACCATTCCCTTTATACTTTTTGCAAGTGAATTCACCTTTTACTCCAGTCCTAAGACGTCTCTTTGTCCCACAGAACTTATAAACTGGCATTTTTCACTCAAGGCTGCATAATTTTATTTTACTTTTAGTGAGGTTACATTCCACTTGGGATATAGAAAACTTAAAAGTATCCTCTCACTCTAACAAAAAAAAGTAGAAAAGCTACCAAATTATAACATTTCTTGATCTCAGTAGACATGTAAGCTCACACCTGAAATCTGAGAAAAGTTAGGAACCTCCATGGAAAAATGGGACACAAGCACCCAGAGCACAGAAGGAAAGCAATGCTTCCCTATAAGCGCTTAAGAAGAATCCTTTAACTAATGGCTAAAGACTGAATGTGGGCTAGTATGAGAATATGGAGTCCCTGGAAGCTGAAAATTCACTAGCAGGATTTTTCACTGTGATCACAGGAAAGATCAGAGGCATGGTGGAAGAGAAATCTTCCATTATGGTACAGGCCTGGAGCTGGAGAGTGGCTCTCTCTCTCCAGGAAATACACAAGGTCCTATCTGGAATTTTTTTGTTTTCATTATAAAACAAAAGCTTTAAGTTACTGGAGAAAGGGAAATAAAGCCTGTTGTCACCAGTGTACAGATAAAGGCACACTGTGGGTGTGAAAGGGGAAAATGAAAAACTCTCTACCCTGGTTAAAGGTAGCAGTTCTCTTTTTCTGAGAAAATGACAAGATCACTGAAATATCCCCACCCCAGATAAAAGGAACACAGAGTTGGTCTAACACTGAGGGTAGTCTAGGACAATAGTCCCCTGAAAATCTCCCCTACCATGCTATCAAGCATTGAGTAACAAGCAACAGAAGTCTATTGCTAAAGGATGGGCAAGAGCATAAAAACCTCCCTGAGGTACAAGCCTAAAGGGAGGGCCTAAAACTGAGGGTTAAAGAGACCCTGAGAATAAAAACCTTCCAGAAAACTACTGCCCAGACTGAGCACAAGGTAAATATGCAGGGATTTGAAGCTGATGATATACTAAAAGTAACCAGAGTAACAACATCACTCAAACTCAGCTCAACTCCTAGTGAGATTAACTTAACCAGCCACTTTGTAGATCCTTCTCTTAGCAAAAGAGAAGGTGTTCTCATTTCCAAGCCTAAATATTATTTATCTTAGTCTCCACTGTCACATACAGAATGACCAGCTTTTAAGAAAAAATTGTGAGACACTCAAAAAATTAAGAAAAAGAAACAAGCCACTGTCAAGGGACAAAATACCAGCAAAACCAGGCTCAGGAACGAACCAGATGTTGGAACTAACAAAGAGGGAATGTAAAATAAATATTATTAGTATGTTAAACATACTGATGGAAAAGGTGGACAACATGCATAAACAGATAGGGAAGGCCTTTGCTTATTTCAGCACAGTGAAGGAAACAAAGATCTTAAAGGTAGTTGAATAGATGACCAGAACTGAAACACAAAGAAAATAAAGAGTAGAAGATAAAACGAACAGAACAGAACTTCCAAAATCTGGACATCAGATGGCTCTCTCTCTTTCTCTGTCTCTCTCTCTATATATATATTTCACCTCAGAGGAGAGAAAGGAAACAAGGTGGAAGAAATATTTTAAAATATACTAGCTGAGAATTTCCAGAAATAATAAAATCCATCATATCGCAAATCTAAAAAATTCAGGGCTCCCCAAGCACAAGGAAACACAAACACATGCCCCTAGACAAATCATAATCAAACTGCTAAGAAAAAATAGAGAAAAGTGAAAGTTTTGAAAGCAGTCATTGGAGGTTGGGGGAGGGGAAGAACACATTAGACACATAAAAATAAAGGTAAAAATTATAGCAGATATTTTGTCTGTACAGTCAGAAGACAACAGAGTGACATCTTTAAAGCGCAGAAAAAACACTGTCAAACTGGGATTCTCTACCAAACAAAAATATATTTCCAAATGTAAGGACAAATAAAGACTTTGTCAGACTAACAAAAATTGAGAGAATCCATTTTCAGTAGATTTGCATTACAAAATGAAAAAAGTTAAAATAATTTGTTCAAGTAGAGGAGATATGATACCAGACAGACTTGGATCTACACAAAGAAATGAAGAGATCTAGAAATAACATAAATGAGGGTAAATATAAAATTTTTAAGAAAAATTTTTAATTGCTACTAAATATAGTTGACTGCCTAAAGCAAAAAATATAGCAATGTGTTTTGAGTTTATAACATGTATGGAGTAAAATACATGGAAACCATGGCACAAAGATGAAAGAGAGGAATTGAAAGTATGCCATTGTAAAGTCCTTACTTTACACATGAGGCAGTTAATATTATTACTAGCTATACTGTGATTAAAGATAAATCCAAAGAAACCACAGAAAATTTAAAGAGTATAAATCATTAACAAATACTGGAGATAAATGAAATAAAATATTTAATATAAAAGCAAACAGGATAAAAGTGGAGGTGGGAATAAATAGCAGATGCGACAAATAGAAACTAGCTGTAAAGGTGATGGATTTCAATTTAACCATATCAATAACATTAAATGTAAATGGTCTAAACATATCAGTTAAACAGATGAGACAAAGAGCAAGAAAGCAGCTGTTCATAAGAAAGCTACTTTAAGTGTAAAGTCATATATAGGTTAAAGTATAAGGCTGGAAAAAGGGCACACTATGTATATATCAATTAAAATAAATCTGAGTTTGCCATATTAATATTACACAGAGTAAGCTTCAAAACAAGCAATATTACTTAGGATAAAGAAGGGCATTACATAGTAATAAAGGGATCCATTTGCCAATAAGGCATAATAATATTAAGTGTATATGTACCTAATAATGGGTTTCCAAATACATGAGGCAAAAATTGACAGCACAGAGTGGAGAAACAAACAACTCCATAATTAGAGCAGATTTCAGTACTTCTCCTTCTCTCAGCAATCAACAAACTAAGTGGAGAGAAAAATTAATAAGGATATAGAAGATTTGAATAACACTATCAATCACCTTCATCTTATGGATATTTACAGAGCATTTTATCCTACAACAGCAGCATGCATATTTTTCTCAATGTTATTTTCTCATGGAATATTCACAACAATGGGACATATTGTAGGCCATAAAATAACGTTAACAACTTTAAAAGAATAGAAATAAAGTATGTTGTTGAACCTAGAGGAATTAAACTGAAATCAATTTCAGAAACATATCTGGAAAGTTTCCAAACATTTAGAAATTCATTAAGGTAGATTAAATTTTTACAACTTTTTTTTTCTTTTTTTTTTAGACACAGTCTTGCTCTGTCACCCAGTCTGGGGTGCAGTGGTACGATCTCAGCTCACTGCAACCTCTGTCTCCTGGGTTCAAGCGATTCTCCTGCCTCAGCCGCCTGAGTAGCTGGGACTACAGGCATGCACCAACACGCCTGGCTAATTTCTGTATTTTTAGTAGAGATGAGGTTTCACCATGTTGGCCTGGCTGGTCTTGAACTCCTGACCTCGGGGGATCTGCCTGCCTCGGCCTCCCAAAGTGCTAGGATTACAATGGTGAGCCACTGCTCCCAGCCAAATTTTTACATTCTTTTTAAGTCCCTTAAAGAAAATGTGGAGTATTTCAGAAACAACATTTTATTTATTTGAACGTAATTGTTTAAGAATTTGTGATAATTCAGACGAAGACTAGGCTGACCCTTATATGATCATTTAAACAAGAATTTAATAATCTGGGAAACTTTGAAACTACCAAAAAGTTTAATTGTAAATTTCTTGAACATATTGCACACACTAGGTGCTTATTAAGTAATTTTGTATTAATAAAAATCAAATTAGAATATTTAATATATGAAAATTTTTACATGCTATGTAGTCAAAAGTATGTATGTGCTAAGAACAAATGGTTATTATTTATTACATTTACATCAAGGTAAGTTCTCAAATTTCACCTGAAATTAACCAAGTTCAAATTAATCAAATCCTTATATATTAAATTTTCTGTACTTTCTGATTAGTTTATGCCATATTATGTACCTTAAAATAATAGAACTGCATGCCTTAGAAAAATATGTTGTAATAAAAATTAACTGTCAAAGGGATCTTTTGGAGGATTATTTTGAATGTTTAGGTTTTCACTACATTTAGTCATTCAAGAAAGATAATTGCAGTGCCGTGTGTCAACCATTGTGCTAGGAGGTGAAGGGTAGAGGCTCAAAGAACATTAGCTTTCATGTACCGTGTGCCAGGCAATTAACCCTTAATTGCCTCCTCATGGTTATTATTTTGTCTGTTTTACAAATAAGGAAACAGAAGATCAGAGAGGTTAATTTTTACCCAGTCACACAGCCAGGGTACCAGGGATTTAAATACAGATTTGTCTGTTTCCAAAGCCTGCATTCCTAACTGCTTTCTAAGACATGGTCAAGTTTCCTTACGGACCTTGCACTGTAAGGTAGTTGAGGAGACAAGATATGTATGCATATGAGTTAATTATAACACAAGGCAGTCAGTAAAGGTTAAAGCAAATGGAAGTGTAAGTACCTAGGGAAATGGTGCCTACCGGTTATGACCAACTGAGTTCAGAAACTGCTTCAGCATTTGGATGGTCTTGGGCAAGTTACTTAACCCCTCAACCTTTATTTTCCCTTATGTAAAACTGGAAAAACACAGAGGCTATCTCATGAAGTACAATACAAGCTCCAATAAAGTTGTTGTTAAGGATTAACCAAAGTTATATCAAATGAAGCCCTTGGAACATAGTAAGCATTATAAGTAGTAGCTATAATTTGACAACTGATTGACATCTTTTCACCCTACTAGATTAAGAGTTCCCATATGGTCAGGGAAAGATTTGTCTGATTTGCTTATCATTTTGTCACTAGGGTCAAGCTTGGTACCACAATACTCAGAACAGGTTAAGGCCTAACTAAATGAAAGATTCCAGATTCAGATGTGGCAGGTGGAGAGACAGAGAGAGAGACAAAGAGAGAATTGTTAACTTCAGGAAACAGGGAGGACTTTACTTAGAAGATAGAATATAAGCCAGTCCTTGGAAGACTTAGTATTTTAAATAAATGGAGGGGAAAGAGAAATATGTATTGGGTAAGTATAATGGCATTTGGAAAGCTAGTAAGGTGGGAATAGAAAATTCATGTTTGAGTGACAATAAGTAGACCAACCTTGCTGATGTAGAGAATTCATGTAGGAGAGCAATAAGGAGAGAAAGCTATAAAAGGAGGCTGGCATTGAAATACAGGGCTTTGAATGCCAGGCAACACAAGCAATCCTCTTATTTTTCTTCTTTCAGCTTTTGCGTCCCAGAAAGAGCTTACATTTACTCCCTCTTCATTTTTTTTGAGGGTAGGGGAAACACAGGGTTCCATTCATTATATTTTGACACATATAAGCTACCCATTGCTGTTGGAACTAATAAATATTATATGAATAGTCTTATAACACAGGTTTTGGTGCCAAGGCTAATAGGCTCTGCTAAGGACTTACCTATGCTATCTCCATAGACCCACTATAGAGGAGAGCATTAAAGCATTCATTTCTGCCTCTTTCTGAAAGATGCAGGGCTTAGGCAGCTCTGCAGGAGTTCAAATAAATCTCTCTCCCATGACACTGAAAATGAATGAAAGGTTGGTGCCAAGATTCTTAGTAGTCCTATTATATGGTATTACTAATGATAATATTCAACTCTCTCTCTCTCTCTCTCTCTCTCTCTCAAAATTGCACAAGAAAAGGGCTGGCTGTAAGCTTTCAGCATCTGGAAATGATTTTGGGCATGGAAATTTGAATAATTTGAACAAATCCTCTCTGAGACAATTAGGAACCTCAGAACACAATCTACAACAAGGCTATCAATTAAGAATGGGATTGGAAGCTGTCTCTCCCATTTGGCCAGGCTTCACTTGAAAATGAAGGAACATGAAATATAAAAAATTCTCAGCATCAGGACTGCCTTTTCAAAGCATAATGTCCTCTATGACTGGCTGAGAGCAACAAAAACTATTATTTTTCTCCAAAGATAATTCTCTAGTGAAATCATTTGTGCCCTTTAACCCTCCCTCAATAGTAATTCTTTCTTCTCATCCTATTTTTGCATACCCTTTTTCTGCTACCCCAAGGCCTTCAAGAGTATTTCAGACTCCATCCCGTAGTCATATACCTTGCTTCTCTGGGTAATTCATGTCACTTATGGACCTACAGAGGTACAGTAATTCCCATATTTTCCACTCACCCTCACAGCCTTGTCATTATGACTGAGTTTCTGCCTTAAGAGTTGAGACTACAGATAGTCCAGAACTCTAGACTCCTGGTCCAGTGTTCTTTCCACTGTATAAACTTATCTTTCATGTAGTTAATGATTTTGTGTCATTTTCTCTCCTCAAAATTTGTATTTTTTCAAGAGAAACTAAGAGGGAAATGTATAGCTCTCAAAAAATGAATCACTAAAAAGTTGTTTAAAAAGACTTTCTGGACACTTAAATCACTTTCTGGACTACCTTAAAGAAGTAATCTTCATGTTGGTCCTTTCTTGTCCTGTCTACTCAGAAAGAATTCCCAAAGATCTGGACTGTGTAGAATATTCTACACTATAGCTTCTGCAGAGGTTTAAAATTCATAAACAAATGTTCAGTCTTTCAACAGCCAGTTTGATTGCCTATAAATTCCAGTCACTCTGATTGCTAAAGGAACATGAATAAAGACAATTTTTTAATTAATAAAGTTTTCACTCCAGCAGATAATTGAGAAATGATCATACTACATGGCAAGTATTACAGTGAAGGAGGCTGTGGGTACCAGTATACAGTAGAAGAAGCCATCAAACACCAGGAGAATTAGGAAAAGTCAAGGATGATGTGGCAACAAAGCTGAGTTTTAAAGAATAAGTAGAAATTAGCCAAATGGAAAGAGGGAAGAAAGAAATTGAAAATAGAAGGAATACGAGCAAAGACACGGATGAATATGCCACCAATGCATCTGGGGAAGTACAAATGCTTAATATGCTATACTATAGATCATGCAAGAGGAATAGAGATTGAAGAGGTAAGAAAGTAGGCAAAGAGTGGCTTTAAATGCCTAGCTAAGGAGCTTGAATTTTATGCAGCTTTGAGAGACCTACTTGCCAGACCTCAATTTAATTAATATGTTATTTTTTATAAGGCAAAGACATCAGGATTCTTAGAGACACTAAATTCAAATTTACATCTGCCTAGTGCCATTTCCATTTGGATATCTCATAAGCATCTGAAATTTAATGTCACCAAAACAGAACAAATGCTTACCCTAGCCAATCTACTCCTCTCCAGAAACCCCCTCTCATCTCAGTAAATGGCATTACCATCCACCCAGTTGTTCAATTCTAAAACTTAAGAATCACACTTTATTTCTCTTTTCCTTATTCTACACTTCCAAACCATCAGAAAGGCCTGACAGCTCTACTTCCAATAATTATTCAGGATCCAACCATTTTTCATCAGCTTTCTGCCTGTAACTCAATCTGTGTCTCCTTACTTCCCACCTGAATACAAGAAAAGCCTCCTAACTGTTCTCTCTCTCTCTGCCTCTCCTCTTTCCCCCTAGTGATCTTTCTCCACACAGCAGCCATGGTGATCTCTTAAAACAGAAATCAGATTACGTCATTCTTACGATTAAAAACCACCAATGGAGATTCAGAAAAAATGGTGGATAGGAGGCAGGACTAACTTGCAGCTCCCACTCAGATGGCCAGAACAGTGAGTCCACTGTACTCCCCTGCTGCCTCCACAAGAGTAGGTGCCAGTATCCACGGGTGAGAGACCTGAAGATGGATCACATCACAGGACGCTGAAGACGCTCCCCAGTACCAGCCCAGAGCCTGGTAGCTCTGCTGAGTGGCTAGATCGAGAAGAGAAATAACACACACTACAGTTTGGCTGTCAGGAAGCCCAATCCTAGGAAAAGGGGGAAAATACTACATCAAGGGAGCACCCCTGAGAGACAAAATAATCTGAACAGCAGCCCTTGAGTCCCAGATCTTCCTTCTGACACAGTCTACCCAAATGAGAAAAAAACAGAAAAACAATTCTGGTAACATGATAAAACAAAGTTCTTTAACACCCCTTAAAGGTCACACTAGCTCACCAGCAATGGATCCAAACCAAGATGTAAACTCTGAATTGCCAGAAAAAGAATTCAGAAGGTCTATTAAACCAACCATGGAGGCACCAGAGAAAGGTGAAGTCCAACCTAAAGAAATGAAAAAAATAAAAAAAGATACAGGATATGAATGGAAAAATCTCCAGTGAAATAGATATCATAAATTAAAAGAAAAGAAAAATCACAACTCCTGGAAGTCGAGGACGCACTTAGGGAAATACAAAGTGCACTGGAAAGTCTTAGCAATAGAATCAAATGAGCAGAAGAAAGAACTTCAAAGCTCAAAGGCAAGGCTTTTGAATTAACCCAATCTGACAAAGACAAAGAAAATAATTTTTTTAAATGAATAAAACCTCCAGGAAGTTTGGGATTATGTTAAGTAATCAAACATGAGAATAATTAGTGTTCCCAAAACAGAAGAGAAATCTAAAGTTTGAAAAACATATTTGAGGGGATAATCAAGGAAAACCTCCCTAGCCTTGTTAGAGATCTAGACATTCAACTACAAGAAGCTCAAAGAATACCTGGGGAATTCATTGTAAAAAGATCATTGCCTAGGCACATAGTCATCAGGTTATCTAAAGTCTAGACAGGATACAATAGTAAGAGCTGTGAGGCAAAAGCGTTAGGTAACATACAAAGGAAAATCTATCAGATTAACAGCAGATTTCTTGGCAGACACCCTACAAGCTAGAAGGGATTGGGGCCCTACTTTTAGCCTCCTTAAACAAAACAATTATCAGTCAAGAATTTTGTATCTAGTGAAGCTACGCTTTATAAATGAAGGAAAAATAGTCTTTCTCAGACAAACAAATGCTGACAGAATTTACCACTACCAAACCAGCACTACAAGAACTGCTAAAAGGAGCTCTAAATCTTCAAACAAATCCTCAAAATGCACCAAAATAGAATCTATTAAAGCATAAATATCACAGGACCTATAAAATGATAACACAATGACAAAAAATAGCAACAAATAGCACAATGAATAGAATAGTACTTCACATCTTAATACTAATGTTGAATGTAAGTAGCCTAAATGCTCCACTAAAAAGATACAGAATGGATAAGAACTCATCAACCTAGTATTTGCTGTCTTTAAGAGATTCACTTGACACATAAGGACACACATAAACTTAAAGGGATTGAAAAAGACAATCCATGCAAAGAAACACCAAAAGCTAGCAGGATTAGCTATTTTGTATTTTTTTGTTTTGTTTTCTTTTGAGACAGTCTTGCTCTGTTACCCAGGCTGGAGTGCAGTGGCACATTCTCAGCTCACTGCAACCACTGCCTCTTAGGTTCAAGTGATTCTCCTGCCTCAGCCTCCCAAGTAGCTGGGATTACAGGGGCCTGCCACCACACCCAGCTAATTTTTGTATTTTTAGTAGAGACAGGGTTTCACCACATTGGCCAGGCTGGTCTCAAACTCCTGACCTCAAGTGATCCACCCACCTCGGCCTCCCAAAGTGCTGGGATTACAGGCAGTTGCCACCACACCCAGCATGAGAATCTATTCTTATATCAGGCAAAACAAATGTTAAAGCAACAGCAGTTTAAAAAGTCAAAGAGGAACATTATATAACGATAAAAGGACTACTCCAACAGAAAATATCACAATTCTAAATATATATTCACGTAACACTTGAGTTCCCAAATTTATTAAAAAATTATCACTAGATCTATGAAATGAGATAGACAGCAACACAGTAGTAGTCGGGGATATAGTACTTCACTGACAGCACTAGATGAGTCATAAAGACAGAAATCAAGAAAGAAACAATGGACTTAAATTATACCCTAGAAAAAATAAACGTAACACATATTTACAGAACATTACCCAATGACTGCAAAACAGACATTCTATTCATCAGCATATGGAACACTCTCTAAGATAAACCATATGATAGGTCACAAAACAAGAAAAGAAAACTAAAATTATATCAAGTACTCTCTCAGACTACAGTGGAATAAAATTGGAAATCAACTCCAAAAGGAACCCTCTAAACCAAGAAAATTAAATAACCTGCTCCTAAATGATCATTGGGTCAACAATGAAATCAAGATGGAAATTAAAAAATACTTTGAACTAAACCATAATAGTGACACTAACTATCAAAACCTTTGAGATACAGGAAGAGTGATACTAAGAGGAAAGTTCACAGGATTAAATGCCTACATCAAAAGTCTGAAAGAGCACAAATAGACAATCTAAAGTCACACCTCAAGGAACTAGAGAAACAAGAACAAATCAAACTCAAACAGAGCAGAAGAAAAGAAATAAGCAAGATAAGGGCAGAACTAAATGAAACTGATACACAGACACAGACACAGACACACACACACACACACACACACACACACACACAAAAGATGAATGAAATTTCAGCTCTTCATTTATACCTCATTTAAAGGATGGCTTCATTCAATGAAACAGTATCTGTGAGAACAGATTATAAACTTGAAAGTGCTTATAATTGTCATCACTACCACCTCCACCACTATCAGCCCCAAAAAGTCCATAGACCACAAGATCTGGGATAGCTAATAAGTGTCATCTTCCAGCCAGCTTTATCAATTGGGAGTGGTTTCTTGGAGCTCTGGGTTGAGAAGGACTCAGGCTGCACACAGGATCCAAGGGAAAATATAGTTATGTCTATTATGTGAAGACATGATGAGCAGAGGGTGATCACATGAGAATCAGAAGGTGAACATGCCAGGCATGGGTGGGAAGGCTGGCCTTTTGGATTATGATACTGGCCAAAACTTCAATAATGACTCAAAGCCCTATTACATTGCCCAAGAATTACATCACCTCTTGTCACCCTATGACTCATGTTGTAACCACAGATAAAAGAACAAAATTTTAGTGAACTAGAAGAGCCTGGAAAGTTTTAAATGAGCTGTATCTCACAATACAAAGCCTTCTTCCAACATTTTTAGAACTTACATTTTAAAAGTTATGATTTTCAAATTGATTAAATGAAACAGAGGTGATCATTTTAGCCTTGGGAACTTCTCACCATCCTCAATCTTCAATTCCCAAAATTACATTCAAAAATAGCTTATTCAAAGCATTTATTTTAAAAAGAAACATCCTCAGACTAAAGAAATAAAAATTGAGTTAGAAACACTTGTACTTTCTAGACCTCTGTTGTCAGGATATAGATTGGGCTGTCAACAGCATGACCAGACAAAAAGATGAGCGAATGAAATAATGGGTGCAGTACTGGGGCCATTCCAGTTCCTCAAATTCACCACTCTGATTAACAATACATTTAAGGTGGGTAAATGGAGAGCAACAGAACAATACCAGCTTCACTGTAGAGTTACGGTCTGCTTCTGCTAGAAACTCATTCAAGAGAGTAATTCACTACTGAGACATCTCCCCCTTTACTCCCCTTTGCTGCTCAAAGGACCTTTTATAAGGTTTACGTATAGTTGTCAGATTTTAAGTTGTACTCTTATAGTTGGAAATTAAATCACAAAACAACCTTCCCCTGTCATGACTAAAAATGTTTAAAATGTGCTCTTACAAAATAATCTTATTTTAAACATATTTCCCTCCAATGTGACTTGTTCCAAGTAGTTTCTCTAGTGAGAAAAGCTACATATTAGTTTATTTCTTTGCAATTTGCAAGGTCTTTGATATAAGGGATATTTGAAATGACCTTGGTGTCACATAGCATCTGCTGGCTGATAAAGATTACCTTTGACCTGTACCTGAGGCAAAGGAGACACAATGACCTTGAATTGATTTCAGGTAACATTATACACTCCAGAGAAACAGGTGTTGGTGGAAGGCTGAAGCCACTCAATTCAGCCCAGTTTCACATATATACTCATCTTATATTGTCATGCTGTGGCTCTAACTTTGACAATAGAAATCAAAGTTCAATTTTGTGCAGATTAAATATAAATATGATTACCAAAATTTTTCAACCAGCCATGTTTTAATTGAGTGAAGTAAAATAGGAACAGGGATCTTCATAAACATTGGCATGATTGGGTTACTTATTTTTAATCCCCAGATGGAGAATTTTACCCACCTCACTGAAGCTATTGATCAATCAAGTAAACTTTTTATACAAATGTAGACAAAGTTGCCAGTGAGATTCTTCAAGGCATTTACAAAGGAGGTAGAAAGACAAGTTCAACACACATGAAACAACTAGGAAAAAGTATTAGCGTATATTCTCAAGAGTAGTCAGAAGTCAAGATGAGTATATAAGGAGGGAGAAAAATGAGAGGCAAAGTATCAAAGTCTCCATGGAGGTGGGAAAAATATAAAACCTGAAAAGATGATTAAGGTTTGAATAAGTAAAGGGGCAAAGGAAAAAGAAGAAGGGAGAAGGGAGACCATTTTCTGAGGTTACTTACCAAAGCTATGGTCCTCTTTTATCGTAACTTATTGCTTCTACAACAATAAAGACTTAAAAATTTCTAAGATATTTCTACATTTTAATATTTCAGAAATAAGGGTGCATCCTCCAATGGAATATCATGGCTTAATTGGCAATAATTTTCTATCATGAAGGTACACAATAGTACTCAGTTTTTCTTTCAGTTGATATTCTCTTAAATCCACAGATACAGACATATAATCATAACCTAAATCACAGAGGCAGTGAAGACTGGACTGATCCTCCATATTACACTGTAAGGCTACATGATCCTGGTTTATGATTTACTTTTCTTTATGATTCCACTGCACTCAAACCTGATTTAACCATATATCAAAGGAGGAATGTGTCAGTTTATTGCCTCTCACTTCCAAATCTACCCTCTGTTGCCTGCTCATGATACTAAAACCTTTCTCCCTTGGCAGTTGGCACGATGTTGATCTTTGCCAGAAGAGACATGAAATGACCCTGCAGGAAGAAAGTCTTCTTCTCCTGGATCTGGCATGCTTTTATTTTTCCTGCTTCTGCTGCAGTCGTTGGTATTCACTCAGTGAATTCACCCCTGGTGAGTTTAGTGGCTCTTCTGAGTCAGCTACCAAGCAAGTTCCTTGGACACCCCAGATCGCTTTCTGAAGGTGGGTTTCATGAAGTGCCCCACCCAGCTTCACGATGTCTTCCTAGCAAAAGTTTCCTGGCAATGGCTTCCTGTTAAATTCAAAGAATCTTCCTTTCCTGAGAAGTTTCCTGGCTAATATCACTGACACACAGCAGGCAATTCTCTGCCTGGCCATCTTGAGCCACTGATTTTGGATAAGCACTGGACTTGGCAACTCAGCAAACCACTGCCATTCAGTGAGTTACAACCCACCCACTGAAGTCTGAATCCTTGCCTTGGAATGAATTCTTCCCTTCCAGGTTTATTCCCTCCTTGGGTACTCTCCCCTTCAGTCATTTAAGTTCTCATTTATCCCCTCTTAGTTAATCTGTTATCAGTTAATAACTCTTTATCTTAAACCATCCCTATTCAAATTATTATGAGGTTTCCGTTTCCTGATTAGACCCTGCCTAATACAATAGGGAAAGAGCTGGCAAGACACCAAAAGCTTCAGATTCTTTAGAAATTAAAATGGATCTCATATGAAAAACCTGAAGACTTATCAATCACCTTTCTCAGTCAAGGCCCACTCATGAGAGCAAAGTACAAAGTGTGTGTTTGGGTCAGGGCTGGGGTAAGAAATAGAATGGGTTGACTGGGAAAAGCAAGAAGTTTATGCCATGTGACTATAATGAAGGGCTATTTGTGCATCATTGTCAAGGGGCTTCTAATGATTTTAAACCACCTAGAAAGCTCATTTCTTTCAACTCCTGTCCTAAAAGATGAACCTCACCATCAGAGCTACCAATGCCTTTGGATCCTGATCCTAGCCATGAGTCATCCTGATGCATTCACATACAACATAAAAGATCCTTTCACCACTAGGAAGTTTTTGCAGCCTGACAAGCATCTGGATGTTTCCAAACAACTGGATATTTAACATTGCAAAAACAAAACAGTTGCCTGACAGTTTAATGTTTTCATTTTTTATCCAGATGTTTTAGTATCTTATGAGCACTTTCTCACTATTTTCATGCAATATATCCTTGTAGAACTTGGCATTTTAAAGATTATATTGTTTTAACATTGAGAAGTAAAATTAAATGTGAAAATAAAAGGAGTAAAATATCTTTCATTTCCAACTGAAAAATATTATGAGTAGATTCGTGGCTATAAAGAGATGGGAAGGATTTGCCAAAGTGAATTACAGTCTAATCTTCATTTTAAAAAATAGCTTTGTTATATTTAGACTTTAGTTTTCCTTTGTATTTGCAAGTTAGAATATCTATAATATTAAAGTATATATTTGAACTATTATACTTTAAATAAAGTATAGTATTTAAACTCCAGTTGAAGGACCTTATAAAGTACACAAAGGTATTAGATTACTTTCATAAAATAGTTCATTTCTTACTTATAACTTTTAAAATAGTACAAAAATTAAGTTTAAAAAATTCCTTAAAATTCTAAATCTTTTCCTGAACAAGAAAACTCCTTAATCTGAAAAATAAAATTCTACCTTACTCTCATGAACCTTATTCATGCATTACTTGTATCTCTCTGATACCTTTTATTTTTTTTCATTTCCTGAACATGTATTTTTTTGTAAATGGACCTTCTGTCAGGATATCATCTCGGCCTTCCATATCCTTCTATATCCTTACAGTTTTTCTCGCTTTAATTCTTGAAGTCCAAGATAAATGAAATAAAAAGACAAATATGAGTTTGAGCAAAAGGGCTTTTATATCGAACAAGAAAAAGACTTCATTCAGATCCTCTAAAGATAAATTGAGGATGGTTATTTTTATCTATAGCTGTAAAGTCATTTTCAGCTGAAGACCAAGAATAGGAAGCAGAAGGCTCTTCCTCTGGTTTTGTTGTGTTCAGTGTGTTTTGGATGATCTAAAGCAGCAACATGAGTCAATGTTCCACAGATGGAGGCCACTGGAGAGATGGCTCAAAACCCAGACATTTATTTTATATATACACACACACACCATTCTCTGTACAGATTCACAGAATTATTCACATATATAACTCCCTTTAGGCCTGTACTGTATTGTCGATTCCATCAATATTGTAATGTAGACACACAAATGCCTCAAAAAGCACATGAGCAGGTAGCATCATCTTCCACTATTATCTGCAACAAGAACAATGTCGGTATTTCTCTGAATATGTGGCATGCAAAGAGTACACCCACCATCTGCTGAACTTGTCAATGAATGTGTTTCTACCATAGACATAGAACACAATGGGAAGGAACATTGGAAAGCACCGAATTCCTCGGTTAAAGATAAGAAAACTAAAGGTAGATGAGGATGTGTGACATTTCTAAGATCTCCCCAAAGAGCCTGTGGAAGATCTAGGAGCAGAATATCTCTCTTTTAATTTTTTTAAGTGTTTTCATTTTTTTAACTTTTAAGTTCAGGAGTACAAGTGCAGGATTTTTACATATGCAAACTTGTATCATGGGGGTTAGTTGTATAGATTATTTCATCACCCAGGAATTAGCCTAGTATCAATTATTTTTTCCTAATCTTCTTCCTTCTCCCACCACCGTCCACCCTCCAAAAGGCCCCAATGTCTGTTGTCCCCCTCTTTGTGTCCATGTGTTCTCATCATTTAGCTCCTACTTATAAGTGAAAACATACAGTATTTGGTTTTCTCTTCCTGTGTTAGTTTGCTAAGGACAATGGCCTCAAGTTCCATCCATCTTCCTGCAAAAGACATGATCTCATTATTGTTTATGACTGCATAGTATTCCAAGGTGTATATGTACCACATTTTCTTTATCCAGTCTATTATTGATGGGCATTTCAGTTGATTCCATGTCTTTGCTATTGTGAATAGTGCTGTAATGAACACATGCATGCATGTGTATTTATAATTTAATGATTTCTATTCCTTTGAGTTTACACACAGTAATGGGATTGCTGGTTTGAATGGTAGCTCTCTCTTAAGGTCTTTGAGGAAGCACCACACTGTCTTCCACAATGGCTGAACTAATTTACACTCCCACCAGTAATGTATAGCATTCCTTTTTCTCCACAATCTGGCCAGCATCTTTAACTTTTGGACTTTTTAATCATAGCCATTGTGACTGGTGTGAGATAGTACCTCATTGTGGTTTTGATTTACATTTCACTAATGATCAGTAATG
Organism: Homo sapiens; assembly: GCF_000001405.40. Lineage (NCBI taxonomy): Eukaryota > Metazoa > Chordata > Mammalia > Primates > Hominidae > Homo > Homo sapiens. The sequence continues at coordinate 53,801,635 of NC_000018.10, forward strand.
TTGAACTTTTTTTCCATATGATTGACTATTGGCCACATGTACATCTTCTTTTGAAAAGTAACTGTTCATGTCCTTTGCCCACTTTTTAATGAGGTTGTTTTTCTCTTGTAAATTTGTTCAAGTTCCTTATAGATGCTGGATTTTGGTCCTGTGTTGGATGCATAGCTTGCAAAAATGTTCTCCCATTCTGTAGATTGTGTTTACTCTGATGATAGTTTCCTTTGCCATACAGAAGCTCTTTAACTAGATCCCATTTGTCAATTTTTGCTTTTGTTGCTATTGCTTTCGTTGCTATTGCTTTTGGTATCTTTGTCATGAAATCTTTGCCTGTGCCCACGTTCTGAATGGTCATCTTAGAGAGTTTTTATAGTTTTGGGTTTTACATTTAAGTCTTTAATCCATCTTGAGTTGATTTTTTGTATATGGTGTAACGAAGGGGTCCAGTTTCAATCTTCTGCATAGGGCTAGCCAGTTATCACAGCACCATTTATTGAATAGGGAATCCTTTCCTGATTGCTGTTTTTGTCAGGTTTGTTGAAGATCAGATAGCTGTAGGTGTGCAGTCTTATTTCTGGGTTCTCTATACAAGAACAGAGTATCTCTAATCCACTGCTCTTTGTAGCACAATATACTTTGGCTGACTTTAGCTTGTAATGATTTACCTTCTTTCTTTCAGTAATATTAATATCTAAAGATTTCTTCCTCCCCTACTAGGTTACACCTATAGGGTGTAAAAATATTATCAAAATATTCTCAAAAATATTATCTTGTAAAAACTACTTAGATTTGTTATCACCAGTAAAGAAATAGTGACATGTACTAATACTTTTAGTTGATGAGGAGAAAAGATTAAATGTGCCAATGACTTTTAAGGAAAAGTAACATAGGCAAGGACAAGTTTGAGCTTACAGACTGCACACTTTCTAGAAAGTTCCAGTTCATTGCCTCCCCACCAGCATGTGTACTGAAGTAGAAGTCCCTCTATTAATGTCTCAAGATATTTAGTCCACAACCAGAAATACTTCTTTGTGGGCAGGGAAATTTACTGGAATAGAGAGGCACATTAAGTAGCATTGTGTGTTACAGCCACTGCACCCTTGAGCTATTGAGAAAAAAGGCATTCCATCTGAACACAAATATGTGGAAAATAAGGCAGTAAAATGGGGTCACATCTTAAGTACACTTCACTTACAGGTGACTTTAGAAAGAACTTATTTTCCCACCACCATCCTCACCAACATCACACACCCACTGTGCCTCCCAACGCACACACATGCAGCTCCACCACCTCACTTAATTTTCAAAATAAATATATATTTATTTAATGTATATTAAGATTAAAGAGCATGAATAATGAAACAACTCAGGGAGCAAGTAGGAAAAGTATCAAATGATCTACCTATACATAAATTCACTAGTAGGTATATAACAATCTGGCATTTCCAAATTTCTGTTACAGACTCCCCTTTTATCTAGCTTGGCAAGCATCTAAATTTTAGTCCATATAAGAATTGTTTATGTTGCCATAAATATAAATTGTATATACCACACTACATAGAAAAATTTGAAATTTTAAGGGTAATTTTGGCCATATGCAATTTTTGCCTTATGCCTTACACTTCAAAATTTTGACTCCAGGCAAAATGCATATTAATTACCTGCACAAGTGGAGCCTTAACACAAAATGTCTTAATGTCTACGTTGAGATATTCACATTTCATCTGTAAGGTTGGGGAGATGGTATAAATTCCTTAGCTAGCAAATATCATGGCAAAATATTTTTAAGAACATTAATCTAGTGACTTTGCCAGAGATACATGGGAAGGGAGAGTCAGGGATAGACTGGAAGAAGAAATATCAATTTATAGATCACTTCAATAGTCTGGGCATGCAATAAAGACATCCTAAATTAGGATGGTTGTAGAAATGTAAAGGAAGAAGGAAGCATTACAAGGAAGACTCTGGGTGTGAAAGAAAATACTAATAATGTAACACAGTTAATAAAAGCAAAGCCTTTTCTATTTTACAGAGTTGGATTAAATTCTAGTTATTACTACCATCTAATCATGTAACAACAAACTTTTATTTATCACCGCCATGATGATTAATTTTATATGCCAGCTTGGCTGGGCCACAAATTGCCCAGACATTTGGCCAATTATTCTGAGTATGTCTGTGAGGGTGTTTCTGGATGAGATTAATATTTGAATCGGTAGACTGCATAGAGCCGATTGACCTCTCTGATGTAGGTGTGCCTCATCTGATCAGTTAAAGACCTGAATTTAAAAAAAAAAAAAAAAAAGCCTGAGTAAGTGATAACTCCTCCTGCCTGGCTGTCTTGAGTTGGGATATTGATTTTTTCCAGCCTTCAGACCTGAACTGAAACATTGGCTCTTGAGTCCTAAGCCTGCCAGCTTTGGGACTGGAGCTTACACTATCAGCTCTCCTCATTCTTAGGCCTATGGACTCAGATTGGAGCTATGCATTGAGAAAGTTCCAAGATCTGCAGAATCATCTGAGCCAATTCCTTATAATAAATCTCTTTCTTGGGGGATCTGGAAAGATGGCCCAATAGCAACAGCTCCAGTCTGCAGCTCCCAGCGAGACCATCGCAGAATATGGGTGATTCCTGCATTTCCAACTGAGAGGCACCTGGAACCCCAGCGAGACAGAACTGTTCACTCCTGTGGAAAGGGAGGCTGAAGCTAGGGAGCCAAGTGGTCTCATTCAGAGGGGCCAACTCCAATGGAGCCCAGCAAGCTAAGAACCACTGGCTTGAAATTTCTCGCTGCCAACACAGCCCTCTGAATTTGACCTGGGACAATCGAGCTTGGTGGGAGAAGGGCATCACCATTACTATGGCTTGAGTAGGCAGTTTTTCCCTGACAGCGCTAAGGGGCTTGGAAGTTCAGACTGAGTGGAACTCAACACAGCACGGCAAAGCAGCTGTGGCCAGACTGCCTCTCTAGACTCCTCTTCACTGGGCAGGGCATCTCTGAAAGAAAGGCAGCAGCTCCAGTCAGGGGCTTATAGATAAAACTCCCATCTCCCTGGGGCAGAGCAGCTGGCGGATGGGGCGGCTGTAGGGCACAGCTTCAGGAGACTTAAACAGTTTTGCCTGCTGGCTCTGAAGAGAGCAGCAGATCCTGAGAAGGAAGGTTCTCCTAGCACAGAGCTCGAGCTCTGCTAAGAGACAGACTGCTCCTCAAGTGGGTCCCTGACCTCCATGCCTCCTGATTGGGAGAGACCTCCCAACAGGAGTTGACAGACACCTATACAGGAGAGCTCCAGCTGGCATCAGGTCCATGCCCCTCTGGGACGAAACTTCCAGAGGAAGGAGCAGGCAGCAATCTTTGCTGTTCTGCAGCCTCTGCTGGTGATACCCAGGCAAATAGGGTCTGCAGTGGACCTCCAGCAAACTGCAGCAGACCTGCAGCAGAGGGGCCTGCCTGTTAGAATACCTAACAAACAGAAAGCAATAACATCAACATCGACAAAAAGGACCCCCACACAGAATCTCATCCACAGGTCATCAGCCTCAAAGTACAAAGGTAGATAAATCCACTAAGATGAGGAAAAAACCGTGCAAAAATGCTGAAAATTTAAAAAACCAGAATGCCTCTTCTCCTCCAAATTATCCCAGATCCTCTCTAGTAAGGGCACAAAAATGGACACAGAATGAGTTTGAGGAATTGATGGAAGTAAGCTTCAGAAGGGGGGTAATAACAAACTCTTGAGCTAAAAAAGCTTGTTCTAACCCAATGCAAGGAAGCTAAAAACCTTTAAAAAAAAAAAAGGCCACATGAACTAATAACTAGAATAACCAGTTTAGAGAAGAACATAAATGACCTAATAGAGCTGAAAAACACAGCACGAGAACTTCATGAAATATAAGCAAGTATCAATAGCCAAATCAATCAAGTGGAAGAAAGGATATCAGAGACTGAAGGTCAACTTACTGAAATAAGGTGTGAAGACAAGGTTAGAGAAAAAAGAATGAAAAGGAACAAAGCCTCCAAGAAATATGGGACTATAGAAAAAGACCAAACCTATGACTGACTGGGGTCCCTGAAAGTGATGGGGAGAATGGAATCAAGTTGGAAAACACATTTTAGGATATTATCCAGGAGAACTTCCCCAACCTAGCAAGACAGGCCAATATTCAAACTCAGGAAATACAGAGAACTACTAACATACTCCTTGAGAAGAGCAACCCCAAGACACATAACTGTCAAATTCTCCAACATTGAAATGAAGGAAAAAATATTAAGGGCAGCCAGAGAAAAAGGTCAGGTTACCCACAAAGGGAAGCCCAACAGACTAACAGCAGATCTCTCTGCAGGAACCCTACAAGCCAGAAGAGGATGGGGGCCAATATTCAACATTCTTAAAGAAAAGAGTTTTCAACCCAGAATTTCATATCCAGCTAAACTAAGCTTCATAAGTGAAGAAGAAGTAAAATCCTTTACACACAAGCAAATGCTGGGGGATTTTGTCACCACCAGGCCTGCCTTACAAGAGCTCCTGAAGGAAGCACTAAATGTGGAAAGGAAGAACCAGTACAAGCCACTGCAAAGACACACCAAAATATAAAGACCAAAGACACTACCAAGAAACTGTATCAACTAATGTGCAAAATAACCAGCTAGCACCATGATGACAGGATCAAATTCACAGATAACAATATTAACTTTAAATGTAAATGGGTTAAATGCCCCAGTTAAAAGACACAGACTGACAAATTGGATAAAGAGTCAAGACCCATCAGTGTGCTGTATTCAGAAGACCCATCTCACATGGAAAGAAACATATAGGCTCAAAATAAAGAGGTGGAGGAAGATTTAACAAGCAAATGGAAAGTGAAAAAAAGCAGGGGTTGCAATCCTATCCTCTGATAAAACAGACTTTAAACAAACAAAGATAAAAAAAAGACAAAGTAGGGCATTACGTAGTGGTAAAGGGATCAGTGCAACATGAAGAGCTAAGTATCGTAAATATATATGAATCTAATACAGGAGCACCCACATTTATAAAACAAGTTCTTAGACACCTACAAAGAGATTTAGACTCCCACACAATAATAGTTGGAGACTTTTGCACTCCACTGTCAACATTAGATGGGTCAATGGAGACAGAAAATTAACAAGGACATTCAGGACTTGTGCTCAGCACTGGACCAAGTGGACCTAATAGACACCTACAGAACTCTCCACCCCACATCAACAGAATATATATTCTTCTCAGAATATACATAGCACTTATTCTAAAATAGACCACATAATTGGAAGTAAAACACTCCTCAGCAAATGCAAAAGAACAGAAATTATAACAAACACTCTCTCAGACCACAGTGCAATCAAATTAGAACTCAAGATTAAGAAATTCACTCAAAACCGCACAACTACATGGAAACTGAACAACCTGCCCCTGAATGACTACTTAGTAAATAACGAAATTAAGGCAGAAATAAAGAAGTTCTTTGAAACCAACGAGGACAAAAAGACAATGTTCCAGAATCTCTGGGACACAGCTAAAGCAGTGTTAATAGAGAAATTTATAGCACTAAATGCCCACAGGAGAAAGTGGGAAAGATCTAAAATCAACACCCTTACATCACAATTGAAAGAACTAGAGAAGCAAGAGCAAACAAATTCAAAAGGTACAAGAATACAAGAAATAACTAAGATCAGAGATGAACTGAAAGAAATAGAGACATGGAAAACCCTTCCAAAAATCAACACATCCAGCAGCTGGTTTTTCAAAAATATTAACAAAATAGATAGACCACTAGCCAGACTAATAAAGAAGAAATGAGAGAAGAATGAAATAGACACAATAAAAAATGATAAAGGAGATATCACCACTGATCCCACAGAAATAAAAACTACCATCAGAGAATACTATAAACACCCCTACACAAATAAACTAGAAAATCTAGAAGAAATGGATAAGTTCCTGGACATGTACACCCTCCCAAGACAGCACCAGGAAGAATTCGAATCCCTGAATAGACCAATAACAAGTTCTGAAATTGAGGCAATACTTAATAGCCTACCAACCAAAAAAAGCCCAGGACCAGACGGATTCACAGCCAAATTCTACCAGAGGTACAAAGAGGAGCTGGTTCCATTCCTTTTGAAACTATTCCAAACAATGGAAAAAGAGGGACTCCTCCTTAACTCATTTTATGACACCAGCATCATCCTGATACCAAAACCTGGCAGAGGTACAAAAAAAAAAAAAAGAAATAAAGAAAATTTCAGGCCAATATCGCTGATGAACATTGGTGCAAAAATGCTCAATAAAATACAGGCAAACCGATTCCAGTAGCACATCAAAAAGCTTATACACCATGATCAAGTCAGCTTCATCCTTGGGATGCAAGGCTGGTCAACACAGGCAAATCAATAAATATAATCCATCACATAAGAGGACCAATGACAAAAACCACATGATTATCTCAATACATGCGGAAAAGGCCTTCAATAAAATTCAACACCCTTTAGGCTAAAAACTCAATAAACTAGGTATTGATGGAACATATCTCAAAATAATAAGAGCTATTTATGACAAACCCACAGCCAACATTATATTGAATAAGCAAAACTGGAAGCATTCCTTTTGAAAACTGGCAGAAGACAAAGATATTCTCTCTCACCACTCCTATTCAACACAGTATTGGAAGTTCTGGCCAGAGCAATCAGGTAAGAGAAAAAAAATAAAGGGTATTCAAATAGGAAGACAGCAAGTCAAATTGTCTCTGTTTGCAGATGGCATAATTGTATATTTAGAAAACCCCAATGTCTCAGCCCCAAAACTCCTTAAGCTGATAAACGACTTCAGCAAAGTCTCAGGATACAAAACCAATGTGCAAAAATCATAAGCATTCCTATACACCAATAATAGATAAACAGAGAGCCAACTCAAGAGTGAACTCCCATTCACAACTGCTACAAAGAAAATACAATACCTAGGAATACAACTTACAAGGGACATGTAGGAGTTCTTCAAGGAGAACTACAAACCACTACTCAAGGAAATAAGAGAGGACACAAACAAATGGAAAAAGATTCCAAGTTCAAGGATGGGAAAAATCAGTATCATAAAAATGGCCATACTGCCCAAAGTAATTTATAGATTGAATGCTATTCCCATCAAGCTACCATTGACTTTCTTCACAGAATTGGAAAAACTACTTTAAATTTCATATGGAACCAAAAAAGAGCCTGTATAGCCAAGGCAATCCTAAGCAAAAAGAACAAAGCTGGAGGCATCATGCTACCTGACTTCAAACTGTACTACAAGACTACCGTACCCAAAACAGCATGGTACTGGTACCAAAACAGATGTGTAGACCAATGGAACAGAAGCCTCAGAAATAATACTTCTGCAACCATCTGATCTTCAACAAATCTGACAAAAACTAGCAATGCAGAAAGGAATCCCTATTTAATAAATGGTGTTGGGAAAACTGGATAGCCATACACAGAAAACTGAAACTGGGCCCCTTATTTACACCTTATATAAAAATTAACTCAAGGTGGATTAAAGACTTAAATCTAAAACCTAAAACCATAAAAACCCTAGAAGAAAATCTAGACAATACATTTCAGGACACAGGCATGAGCAAAGACTTCATGACTAAAACACCAAAAGCAACGGCAACAAAAGCCAAAATTGACAAATGGCATCTAATTAAACTAAGAGCTTCTGCGCAGCAAAAGAAACTGTCATCAGAGTAAACAGGCACCCTACAGAATGGGAGAAAATTTTCGCAATCTATCCATCTGACAAAGGTCTAATATCCAGAATCTACAAGGAACTTAAACAAATATAGAAGAAAAAAAAACAACCCCATCAAAAAGTGGGTGAAGGATATGAACAGACACTTCTCAGAAGATGACATTTATGTGGCCAACAAGCAAATGAAAAAAAGCTCATCATCACTGGTCATTAGAGAAATGTAAATCAAAATGAGATACCACTGAGATCACAATCAGATACCATTTTACATCAGTTAGAATGACAATCATTAAAAAGTCTGGAAACAACAGATGCTGGTGAGGATGTGGAAAAATAGGAACACTTTTACACTGGTGGTGGGAGTCTAAATTAGTTCAACCATTGTGGAAGACAGTGTGGTGACTCCTCAAGGATCTAGAACCAGAAATACCATTTGACCCAGCAATCCCATTACTGGGTATATACCCAAAAGATTATAAATCATTCTACTATAAAGATGCATGCACATGTATGTTTATTGCAGCACTATTTACAATAGCAAAGACTTGGAAACAACCCAAATGCTCATAAATGATAGACTGGATAAAGAAAATGTGGCACATATACACCATGGAATACTATGCAGCCATAAAAAAAAGAATGAGTTCATGTCATTTCCAGGCACATGGATAAAGCTAGAAACCATCATTCTCAGCAAACTAACACAGGAACAGAAAACCAAACATTGCATGTTCTCACTCAGAAATGGGAGTTGAACAATGAGAACACATGGACCCAGGGAGGGGAACATAAAACTGGGGCCTGTCAGCAGGTTGGGGGCAAGGGGAGGGAGAGCATTCGGACAAATATGTAATGCATGAGGTGCTTAAAACCTATATGACCGGTTGATAGGTGAAGAAAACCACCATGGCACATGTATACCTATGTAACAAACCTGCATGTTCAGCACATGTATTATATATGTGTGTGTGTGTATATATATATATATATATATATATATATATATATATATATATCCTATTAGTTCTGTTTCTCTGAGGAACTCTAATATGTTCACTAAGCTTTTTCTCTTGTGTACAATGAGTTCTATACATTTACTCACAGTTTTATTGAAAGGATTAAAATGACATAATGTATGTCAGTGTGATAATATGTATAATATATATATCACATAATGATACGATATAGCATAATGTATGGTATTTTAAAAAAATAGTGAAAGCAAAGGTTTTGAAAAAATTAAGCTCATTTAAGTGATGTAGATAGAGTTGCTTTAATATATGGGTTTCTTATGTAATAACCCCTGCAAGTACATGAGGTTTAGGTGAGGAAAGAGAGGGCCAGATGTGTGGCAAGTATTTTCATGAACGCATTAATGTGCCCTGAACTGTGTTTCAGATTAGTGAGATCTTCAGAATAATTGCTGGAGGGATAGAAGAAAATATCTTGTAATTATGTAGTTGCACTACAAAAACAATCAGAGGCGGATCCCAATGCTGCTGGAAGATGTAGCAAAACCTGAGTATAACTTTGGTTCAGTGGAGTGGCCAAGATGCTCTCCCCACCTCTGCACACCCTCTTAAGGAAGGACATGATGCCTAAATATGAATTCAATTCCAATCATAAGTTCATGCTCACTGAAACTTCCTCCTCACTGCAAAGCTCCAGCTTCAGAGAATTTTCTCTGCTAAATTCTCTCATGAGGAACACAGAAAACTCTGGCTGCCTTCCTCACTTGGTGTTGAGGAAGATAGAGTAAACCACCTTAGATATTTCCTTCCCTTTAGACTTCCCATTCTCCATAGCCATCTCCATAGACATCTCCTCTGTTTTCACTCCATAACAATACTAGAGATTTCTACTAATATCTCACGTTCTGGACAAGGAATGCACTATCAATCTTGTATTTCCAAAATGTATCTAGAAGACTCATTTCTCTCCCCCAAGACTCAACTCAGCTGGATGGTAAATTCAGGCTCCCTACCTAGGATAAACACCAGGTTCAATGTTTATTTCCTTAACATCCCTCCTTCTCTCCTGGTCCCAAAGGGTATGTATCAAGGTAAGAAAGGGGAAAAGTACCTCATTCAATGTTATGATTTGTTTTGTTTTGAGACCGGGTCTTACTCTGTCACCCAGGCTGGAGTGCTGTGGCGAGATCTCAGCTCACCATAACCTCTGCATCCTGGGTTCAAGCAATTCTCCTGCCTCAGCCTCCTGAGTAGCTGGGACTACAAGCACACGCCACCATACCCAGCTAATTGTTGGATTTTTTAGTAGTGATGGGGTTTCACCATGTTGGCCAGGCTGGTCTTAAACTCCTTTCTTCAAGTGGTCCACCCACTTCGGCCTCCCAAAGTGCTGGGATTACAGGCGTGAGCCACCGCACTTGGCCATGATTTCTTTCCAAAGCTGGTGCTACATGTATGACACAAGCTTTATGACTTGATTCGTTTAAGGCTTTGATTTTTATACTCCAAGCCAAGCTTTTAGAAATTATAAAACTTTACTTTCTTTTTTTTCTTCTTTCTTTTTTTTGGTGGGGGACCGAGTCTCGCTCTGTAGTCCAAGCTGGAGTACAGTGGCGTGACCTCGGCTCACTGCAACCTCCGCCTCCTGGGTTCAAGCAATTCTTTGCCCCAGCCTCCTGAGTAACTGGGATTACAGGTGCCTGACACCATACCTGGTTAATTTTTGTATTTTTAGTAGAGACGATGTTTCACCGTCTTGGCGAGGCTGGTCTTGAACTCCTGACCTCATGATCCACCCACCTCAGTCTCCCAAAGTGCTGGAATTATAGGCATGAGCCACCGCGCCTAGCCAAAACTTTACTTTCTTAAAACACTCAACTTGTACAAACCAGAAGCCTCATTGTTCAAGACTATTGTCTCTGCTTTGCAATACAAAAGTTGAACATCTTGCTTCTTACATTTTGAATTTTCTATAATAAAAACATTCTGCCAAGGATAGTAGCTTTCTCAGCAATTTAATCACAATATGGATAAAATAAAGAGTAGAAAAACCACTTAGATTATGCTTATCTTCAGGGTGCCTCATATATTATTGAGCCACACATCAAACAGACATAATGTTTATCTTTGGGGTGCCCCATGCAGTCCTTCCTTTGGGGTGCCCCATGCAGTCCTTCCTTATTTGTCCTATTTTTACCTTGTCTTCTTTGCCAAGTGGCATACACCATCAGGCTATTGGCTTCTACGAAATCAAAGATTTGAGCTAAAAGCAAAACCCAGATCTGGAGTAATGAAATTCCCAGCATCAATTAGCCTCTGAAGAGGCACATTTTAGACCAAGAAGTGTTCCCAGAATTCTTAAAATTACACCAACAGACACTTGTTTCTCCACCAGACATTCCAACTATGTGTTAGAACTCCTATTTCTCTGATCAAAGTTTATTGTTTCAAATCCCACTTTTCAGTGATGTAGAAGAAAAATACACGTTGTACATGACCCATTCTAATAGGAAGTAAAGTATGGTAACACTAAAGTAGACTTCTAATTAAAGTATTTGAAATTAAAGTATAATTGTAAACCATATGTGTTAAATTGAAAAGATATGACCACGTAGAAGCCGCTGGGGTGTCAGTTTTATCTAAAGCTTGTTTTAAGGCAACTATTAAAGTGTGCAGGCATTTTATGGTTGAGAAAGATTTCAAAAAGCTACAAAAGATTATGTTATAATATCATATGTTGATAAATTGAAGAAATGGTCTGGAATCGATACAATGAAGGTCAAATAGTGTTGATAAAATGCAGAATAGAGCAAAGATATAAAATACAGAATACAGAAAGATATAAAATGAACAATCATATGGGAATATCTAAGGTAAGTCACACCCACAGAAATAGTGATTCAGACAGACTGCAATGAATGTAGATCAACCTTGAATGTTGCCTTCTTCCCACACCTAAAAGGCAAATGCCTTCAATAAGAAGTACAAATAGAAATATTACAGATCCACATACATAATATTTACATATTGTATACACTGATTTTGAAACAGTATCAAAATCATAAACTAAAAGGACTCCAAGAATCAAAGGCCATTCAAAATAGAACAAAATGAGGTTTTTTTTTAGGTAATTAAATGGAAAACCTCTGAAGAAAGAAAGTTTAGTAGGAGAAACCACTAGCCGGAAATATGCAACTAAGTTGCTCATAGACTCTTAATCCTCAGAAAATGTGAGATGATAAATACATGATACTTTAGGATGTGAGTTTTGGAGTAATTTTTTACACAGCAATAAGTAACTAATACAAGCATTAGTTATACGATAAAAGAATCTGTAGTATATTTATAAGGTTATTCTAAATGTAAATAAATTTGTCAAAGCTTATTTTCCCATCTCATAAATAAAGCTGTTTCAAATGTTTTGCAATAACTGAAAAGTAGAACAGTTGCTAGGATGAAACAGTAATAAAATACTGATTAAAACATAAAAAAAACCCGAATTTAAAAAAATATGTGGTTCTGCCAATAGGATCAGTAACTGGTGACAAAGATAACTGTTTTTAAAAGTATAAATGGCCATCATTAAAAGTCAGATACTTTGGATGTAAAGAGGGATTTTTTCAAATAATGGGATTATGTGATAGTCTTAAAATTTAGATTAATAAATTTTTAGGCCAATGAATAACTTAGCAACATAAGACTTGTCAGAGGAGGTAAAGACAATAAAGAAAATTGATATTGATAGTCTAGTAAAAAGTTACTTTTGGGGAGACAGATGAAGCATAATGAAAATTACGCTCATCATGACAGTATAAGGAAAAACAGATAATATTTAAACATTAATCAATATAAATCTTTCCTCCTCTGAATTTATACTCACAATGAGCAATAGAACATGAGATGTATTGCTTCCATAAGTTGATAAATGGTGTTTTTTGATTATCACTGAGTGCCAAACACCATGATGATCATCAGACTACTAAAATAATATTGATACTATACTGTCAACTTACATTTGTGTGGTGCCTCACTCTCAGCAAATCTTTTCAATTTGGCTTTCCCCATCTGCCTCAAATGGCTGCTAATTGCCCACAGACACCTTGTTCTCTTGATCTCTGACTTTACACTCCTTAAATTCTGCATTTTGAGACCATATTAACCAATTAGCTTAATCATCATTGGTTCTTGTCAATGGATCACACAAGCTCTGCTTCTAATTTTGAGAATGTTTTTCAAATCAAGCTTCACAATGACATGGAGCAACGCTAATTATACTCTCGAGGGGTGCTGTGAAGTTCTCAAAATAAAATTAATCTTTTATTTCAAAACTAATCTGGATGCTACTTCCAGAACTGCCATCACAATGTATGGGATGCAAGAGGATAGATACAATATGAATAAATAAAAAGGCATCAGGATCACAAAACAATAAAGCATCATAGCTCTGTGGGAAAGTGTTTATTTTAAGGAAACTTTTAAAATAGAACTGAAGAAGAGGTATCAAATAATTTGAGGACTATTATTTATCTCTGACCTGGGAGCCATGGAGCTACCAGAAAGTTCCTGACTTTGAGAAATACAATTTTAATAGAAAAGACTAACAAAAATTAAATGATAACACTATAAAAAGTGACATATGTAATATTCATAAACTATATTAACTATGTAATATTCAAAATGTATACCAAAGAAGCTTAGAACAGGGAGAGATCAGTGGGTATATCAGTACCCTAGAACTTAAAGTATAATAAAAATATATATTAAAACAAGAGAAGGGAGACCATTTTTTGTCTGGTAGAGAAGAGCAAGATACGAGATCTTTTTATATTCCTGGAAAAAAGATCAGTATAAATCAGGAAATGCATGCAGAGATGTGCAGAGCAGGTGAGGGCTCCTGTGGGTGAGAATACTTAAACATAATGAAAATCTTCAGAAAGCCAAGATGATATCAGATTATAAAGGGTCATAAAAACTTCACGGTTAGTTTAGGTCAGATACAATGGCAGTGTGAAGTCATCAAGTGAGAAAATAACATAATAAACGTATTGATAAAAGACGCTAAGCCATGCAGAGGGATTTTTTCAAAGCTCTGAATTCTAGTCTAGTCACAGCATCATTGTGCAAACTGGATGAAATCACAATATTCTCAAGGTCTGAGTGTAGCCTTAGGGTCAGCCCCATGTATGCTTTATGCATACAGATGACATTGCTGGGACATCATTAATAGAACATGTGCTTTGGGTTAATTTTAAGTAGGTAGATGTTATTTGTAGCACACCCAGGGAAAAGCAAGTCTTCTTAATGAAATACCCACCCAAGGATGCTGCCAACACATTGCCCACTTATACAATGGTATCTCGGGAGCAAATTCAGTGCACTCTGCCCATTTTAAATCTGTATTTACAGCAATACTGGCAATAATTTTTTTAACTTGGGAATTTATAGAAATGACATGTCTCCAACAGATTGGGAATGACTAAACCCGTGCAATGAGAACTATAAGTTTTGATGCAGTTAATATAAGTTGATTGGTATAAAACGAACTGGAAATAGTAACTTGCAATTCTTCACCCGAAAGGGGTAAAATGGTATGCTTAAGAGAAGGAGTTCTGTTAAGTCATATTTCTTCTTGTCTGGGTCCTATTTTTAAGCTCCCTTCTACTTTTGTCATCTCGTATGTGATAAGTAGCTGCAAATGTCCAAAGTTGAGTTTAGAGAGAGTCTTTATTAATTTTATCGATAAGAAGACAGTTCAACACTCACTGCAAAAAAAAAAAAAATTGTTCACTGGTTTCTTGTGAGCAAAGAGATCCTCTGACTTTTCATGCTTCTGCAGATTCAGCTTTTTGATCGTAGTACTCTGCTAATCAGCCTGCCTTTCTCTTCTGCCTGAACTGCAGCAATTAGAGTTTTCAGGAGCCTCCATACTGATATCATCTTTGCTTTCTGAAGATGTTTCCATTCTATTCAGGTGTTCTCTTCTACAGCCAGACCTCACCTGCTCTGCACATCCCTGCATTCATTATTTGATATAATCCAGTCTATTTTCCAACCTCCTCTTGTTTTGGTTGAAAGAATAACTTCGAGATTGAAGTCCGAATTTAAAAAGCAATCTTCCAGTAGACAGAAGCATCCCAAAATTATATTTCTTATGTAATATTATTAAACACTTCTTTTAATTGTAAAGATCAGGATTTTTGGCACTATTTAATCATTTCATATCCAATGTAGCCCAATAAAACCTTTTTTTCCCTTTCTTTCAAAGGCACATATTTATAAAATTGTGAAATGTTTTGAAGTTAAGTATGTAGCTGATCACAGCTCTCCCCTTAGCAACAGACTGATCCACCCACCAACTTGCCATATAGGCTAACAAATTACCCATAAAATCTTTCTCAGTTACTAATGCTAAAAGATAATATCAACTAGCCTAGGCATTTTAACTGAAAAAAGAAAAATGTCCACATACCCACACATGTTTATTTACTGAAATGGCATGCAAGAACTGCTTTCATTGATTAATTTAGTCATTGGATGTTTATTAAACAAACATTATGTGTCAAGCACTGTGGCTAAAAAATACCTCCGATAGACACTATATGCTGAGCTAAGAAAAGAACTGATCTGGAAACATTCTTCTGAAATCATACATACCCCTGAACATATTCTCAGGAAAAGGAATTGTGGTTTACTAACAGCACATTATGGATAAGTGGGATCAATCCAAGAAGTTTCACTTTAATGGAAAAGGAAAAGATAGAAAAAAGAGAGATTATCCTGTTAGTTCTTAAAGTCACCACTGGTCTACCGTATCACTTTTTAGAGCTCATGTCCTTGTCAGTTACCAAGGGCATGATCTCAGTAACTAAAAGAGATGTAATAAATGCAGAGCAGCAGAAAACATACATAGGAAGTTGAGTTTTAAGGTGGGGTCATTTACCCACGTTGTGAAAAATGGAAATCTCTGTGGCACATGTATATCGTATGGGCTCTTTTGTTTGACAACTCATCCACTTACAATTTCTTATTTCATTCTAGGCATAATAAGTAAGTTGCTCTCAAAGCCCTCAATTGTTAATTGGTCTACTTTAAAATGAAGTAATATTCTGTTTCTTATGGTGGGTGCTGTATTTGAAATGCATTAGTATTCATTTTTAAATGCTTAATCATGTAAAATTTTATTTCAAACTCAATCATTTAGCCTGGCAAATTTCTAGCTGATGAAAATGTCAAACACAAAAAGATAAAAATGTTTAATCAGTTAAGTGCCTTAAGTTTTTGACAAATACTATGCTTACGTGTTGAACACTTTCTGCCAGAACTCAGAGTTTTCTTAAAAATAGAAATGGAGAAAATCAGCCTCACTAAATACATGATCCCTCATTCCCTAGGCTAAGTCAGATCTTTCCTCATGTCTCATTCTGAGTCTCTCCTCTGTGAAGGGTCATTTCTGTATTCTGTTTTGCTTGTATTGACTGTATGTTAAATAAAAAAGAGAACTGAGGAAGAAGGAAGGCTTAGGTGTTACAGGTAAATGAATGTGAGACTCTGAATAAACACGTTTTGGTCTTCTGGCCTATGCTTACTCATCAGCAAAAGCAGGAGACTGAATCAAATGATCTCTTAGATGCTGTATTAGTTATGGCTCTCCAGAAAAAATATATATATGCACACACACATACACACACACACACACACACAGAGGTAGAGAGAGGTAGAGGTAGAGAGAGAATTATGAGGAATTGACTCAAGCATTTATGAGGGCTGAGATTTCCCAGGATCTATTGTCTGCAGGCAGGAGACCCAGGAATGCTGGTGGTGTAATTCAGTCCAAGTTCAAAGGCCAGAGAAATAGGGGGGCTGATGGTGTAAATCTCTGAGAGCAGGAGAATATGAGATAAGATGCCCCTACTCAAGCAGTGAGGCAGAAATCAAAAGGGCATGAATTCCTCTTTCCTCTGCCTCTTGTTCTATGCCAGCACTTAAGGGATTAGATGATATCCACCCACATTATGGAAAGTATCTATTTTAGAGTACATGGATTCAAATACTAATGTCATCAGGAAACAGCCTCACAGGCACTCCTAGACATAATGTTTAATGTGGGCACCCCATGACTCAATCAAGTTGCCACATAAAACTAATCATCACAGATGCTTTCAGTTCATTCCTTCTATGGATTCAATTTGTAAAGTCATTTCCCTCTTCATTCCTTCCTTATTTCCTTATTTTCTTCCTGCGTCCTTATGGAAAAAATGTTGGAGAAAGAAAACTGCATCAATTTATTTTTTTCATTTTCTTTTCTTTATAAGACTTTTTTTGAGATATAACTCACATACCATGTAACCTACTCACTCATCAGTTGAATTTTAACCATAGATGTTTTAAAGTTAATAATTAAAATATCTTCCATGCATCACATGAGATGCTTGTTAAGAAGCTTATATTCAAGTAGAAAACTAAAACCAGATAGCCAACTAAACACAGCCAGGAAGAGCTTCTCCCACCAAGAGACTACATCATCAATACTGGCACAAGCAGATCCAAGCAGATCTTTGGAGGGAGGGCATTGAGAGTGGGCAGAGGGAGGATGTAGACCCTGGGCTGGAGGAGGAGGAAGGTGGAAACACTGCATGGGGTTGCCAAGCACCAGAACTAATTCCAGACCCCCAGAAGCTACTGGGGACGGGCTGTGTTAAACAAGCAAGGAGTGGCCCACTCTCGCCATGGGCCTCTGGAATCCTTGCTACAGGAGACCCCATGACCCCCACGGACATCTGAGCTGGCAGGGAGAGCCACTTAAAGAGGTGGCAGGGAAAGGACTCTAGCCTGTGTAGAGCCCAGAGTGTTTGGTGTGGGAATGGCTGCAGTGGAGCACAGCCAGGGACACCTACCCCCAAAGGTTCACCATGCTCCTCCAGGTGGCTTCAGCCTCTACTGACTCTCAGGCCTAGATAGAGCAGGCTTGTCTTGCCCATGAGATATAGCCAGTCTAATATTAGCCGCTCTCCCACCCCCATAAGCTGGCCTCTTCCTGGGTCCCTGCCAGACTGTGACTGCTTGCAGTGCAAAGTCAGATGCCCAACCAGGGTGCTTTTTGGCAGCCACCACCATAGCTCTTTCACCAACAGACACCACCTAGCCATTAGAGAGCTTCCACAGGCAGGCCCATGGCAGTGTAAACCCATCCACAGCCTATCTCCACTGCTTTGCCAGCACACATTCACCTGAAGCCTTCCCTGACCTCTTTGCCAGCATGCACATACACACATACCTTGCCATTGCCACAGCCTTGTCCATACCAGCACATGCACAGACCCCACCACCCAACTGCCACTGGTGCACACACACAGAGCACACCACCCTGTCACTGCTGGCACATGTGTGTGCATGCACCTTACCATGCCACTGGAGCATGGACCTTACCATGCCATAGCCACCAGCTCATGTGTGTACACACAGGTCCTGCTGCACCATTACCCTACTGTGGCTGGGGTGCACGCAAGCACAGACACCACTACCACTGCCACAGCAAAGCACTTTTGCTGGCACTCCCCATTGGAGTTGTTGCCAGAGGACCAGGAATACTTCAGCCTCTCTAAAGTAGCAGGTACTTAAGCATGAGGGGCCAGAAAACAAAGCTACAGTACTTCTCCCAGCCCAACAGGTTATGGCATGCAGCCCAGGAGCCCTGCCTCCATAAAATAGTCAAGAAATGAAGCCAATCAATAGCAGCTTCAAAGATTAAAGAAATATCACCCCACCCAGATGAGAAAAAAGCAATGCAAGAACTCTGACAACTCAAAAAGCCAGAGTGTTGTCTTACCTCCAAACAACCACACTAGCTCCCCAGAAATTATCCTTAACCAGGCTGAAATCACTGAAATAAAACACATGGAATTAAGAACCTGGATAGCATTGAAGATCACTGAGATTCAAGAGAAAGGTGAAACCCAATCCAAGGAATCTAAGAAATCCAGTAAAACAATGTAAGAGTTAAAAAACGAAATTGCCAATAACTCTATCAAACTGACCTTATAGAGCTGAAAATCAAACTACAAAAATTTCATAATACAGTCAGAGCTACTGACAGACCAGACTGAGGAAAGAATCTCAGAGCTCAAAGACCAGTTATTTGAATTAACACAGTCAGATGAAAATATGGAAAAAAGAATTTAAAATAATGAGCAAAATCACCAAGAAATATAGGATTATATAAAGACACAAAACTTATGAATGATTGGTGTCCCTGAAAGACAGGGAGAAAGAGCAAGCAACTTGGAAAATATATTTGAGAATATCACCCATGAAAATATTCCCACCTTTGCTAGAGAGCTCTGAACATTCAAATTCAGAGAACCCCTTCAAGATATTATACAAGACAACCATCCCCAAGACACATAGTCATCTGATTCTCCAAGGTCAATGCAAAAATTATATATATACATATATAATAAAAATTATATATAAATATAAATAAAAGATAGCTAGAGAGAAGGGGCAGGTCACCTACAAAGGAAACCTTATCAGGCTAACAAAGGATCTTTCATCAGAAATCCTACAAGCCAGGGAGGTTCCCAGATGGCCAAACAGGAACAGCTCCAGTCGACAGCCCCCAGGGTGAGCCACACAGAAGACAAGTGATTTCTGCATTTCTAACTGAGGTAGCAGGTTCATCTCACTGGGGCTTGTCAGACAGTGTGTGCAGCCCATGGAGTGTGAGCTGAAGCAAGGCAGGCATCGCCTCACCCGGGAAGTGCAAGGGGTCGGGAATTCCCTTTCCTAGCCAAGGGAAGCTGGGACAGATGGTACCTGGAAAATCAGAACACTCCCACCCCTAATACTGAGCTTTTCCAACTGTCTTAGCCAAACAGCACACCAGGGATTATATTCTGCACCTGGCTCAGAGGGTCCCACACCCATGAAGCCTGGCTCATTGCTAGCACAGCAGTCTGAGATCAAACTGCAAGGCGGCAGTGAGGCTGGGGGAGGGGTGCCCAGTATTGCTGAGGCTTGAGTAGGTAAATAAAGTGGCCAGGAAGCTCAAACTGGGTGGAGCCCACCACAGCTCAAGGAGGCCTGCCTGCCTCTGTAGACTCCACCTCTGGGGAAAGGGAATAGCTGAACAAAAGGCAGCAGAAACTTTTGCAGACTTAAACATCCCTGTCTGATAGCTTTGAAGAGAGTAGTGGTTCTCCCAGCACAGAGTTTGAGATCTGAGAACGGACAGAATGCCTCCTCAAGTGGGTCCCTGACCCCCGAGTAGCCTAACTGGGAGACACCTCCCAGAGGGGCTGACTGACAACTGATACAGCCAGGTGCCCCTCTGAGATAAAGCTTCCAGAGGAATGATCAGGCAGCAACATTTGCTGTTCTGCAGCCTCTGCTGGTGATACCCAGGCAAACAGGGTCTGGAATGGACCTCCAGCAAACTCCAACAGACGTGCAGCTGAGAGTCCTGACTGTTAGAAGAAAGACTAACAAACAGAAAGGACATCCATACAAAAACCCCATCTATACGTCACCATCATCAAAGACCAAAGGTAAATAAAACCACAAAGATGAGGAGAAACTGGAGCAGAAACACTGAAAATTCTAAAAATCAGAGCACCTCTTCTCATCCAAAGGAACGCAGCTCCTCTCCAGCAACGGAACAAAGGTGGATGGAGAATGACTTTGATGAGTTGAGAGAAGAAGGCTTCAGATGATCAATAATAACAAACTTCTCCGAGCTAAAGGAGGACGTTCAAACCCATGGCAAAGAAGCTAAAAACTTGAAAAGAACAACAAAATTGATAGACCACTAGCAAGACTAATAAAGAAGAAAAGAGAGAAGAATCAAATAGATGATGCAATAAAAAATGATAAAGGGGATATCACCACCAATCCCACAGAAATACAAACTACCATCAGAGAATACTATAAACATTTCTATGCAAATACACTAGAAAATCTAGAAGAAATGGATAAATTCCTGGACACATACACCTTACCGAGGCTATACAAGGAAGAAGTTGAATCCCTGAATAGGCCAATAACAGGGTCTGAAATTGAGGCAATATTTAATAGCCTACCAGCTAAAAAAAGTCCAGGACCAGACGGATTCACAGCTGAATTCTACCAGAGGTACAAAGAGGAGCTGGCACCATTCCTTCTGAAACTATTCCAATCAATAGAAAAAGAGAGAATCCTCCCTAACTCATTTTATGAGGTCAGCATCATCCTGATACCAAAGCCTGGCAGAGACACAACAAAAAAAGAGAATTTTAGACCAATATCCCTGATGAACATCCATGCAAAAATCCTCAATAAAATACTGGCAAACCAAATCCAGCAGCACATCAAAAAGCTTCTCCAACACGATCAAGTTGGCTTCATCCCTGGGATGCAAGGCTGGTTCAACATACACAAATCAATAAATGTGATCCGTCCCATAAACAGAACCAAAGACAAAAACCACATGATTATCTCAATAGATGCAGAAAAGGCCTTTGACAAAATTCTACAGCCTTCATGCTAAAAAGTCTCAATAAACTAGGTATTGATGGGATGTATCTCAAAATAACATAAGCTATTTATGACAAACCCACAGCCAATATCACAGTGAATGGGCAAAAACTGGAAGCATTCCCTTTGAAAACTGGCACAAGACAGGGATGCCCTCTCTCACCACTACAGGTTGGAAGTTCTGGCCAGGGCAATCAGGCAGAAGAAAGAAATAAAGGATATTCAACTAGGAAAAGAGGAAGTCAAATTGTCCCTGTTTGCAGATGACATGATTGTATATTTAGAAAACCCATCGTCTCAGCCCAAAATTTCCTTAAGCTGATAAACAACTTCAGCAAAGTCTCAGGATACAAAATCAATCTGGAAAAAAATCACAAGCATTCCAATACACCAATAACAGAGAACCAAATCACGAGTGAACTCCCATTCACAATTGCCTTCAAAGAGAATAAAATACCTAGGAATCCAACTTACAAGGTATGTGAAAGACCTCTTCAAAGAGAACTACAAACCACTGCTCAATGATATAAAAGAGGACTCAAACAAATGGAAGAACATTCCATGCTCATGGAGAGGAAGAATCAATATGGTGAAAAAGGCCATACTGCCCAAGGTCATTTATAGATTCAATGCCATCCGCATCAAGCTACCAATGACTTTCTTCACAGTATTAGAAACAACTTTTAAAGATCGCATGGAACCAAAAAACAGCCCACAATGCCAAGACAATCCTAAGCCAAAAGAACAAAGCTGGAGGTATCACACTACCTGACTTCAAACTATACTACAAGGCTACAGTAACCAAAACAGCATGGTACTTGTACCAAAACAGAGATATAGACCAATGGAACAGAACAGAGCCCTCAGAAATAATACCACACATCTGCAACCATTTGATCTTTGACAAGTCTGACAAAAACAAGAAATGGGGAAACGATTCCCTATTTAATAAATGGTGCTGGGAAAACTGGCTAGCCATATGTAGAAAGCTGAAACTGGATCCCTTCCTTACACCTTATACAAAAATCAATTCAAGATGGATTAAAGACTTAAATGTTAGACCTAAAATCATTAAAACCCTAGAAGAAAACCTAGGCAATACCATTCAGGACATAGGCATGGGCGAGGACTTCATGACTAAAACACCAAAAGCAATGGCAACAAAAGCCAAAATTGACAAATGGGATCTAATTAAACTAAAGAGCTTCTGCACAGCAAAAGAAACTACCATCAGAGTGAACAGGCAACCTACAGAATGGGAGAAAATTTTCACAATCTACACATCTGACAAAGGGCTAATATCCAGAATCTACAAAGAACTTAAACAAATTTACAAGAAAAAATCAAACAACCCCACCAAAAAGTGGTGACGGATATGAACAGGCACTTCTCAAAAGAAGACATTTATGCAGCCAACAGACACATGAAAAAATGCTCATCATCACTGACCATCAGAGATAATGCAAATCAAAACCACAGTGAGATACCATCTCACACAAGTTAGAATGGCGATCATTAAAAAGTCAGGAAACAACAGGTGCTGGAGAGGATGTGGAGAAATAGGAACACTTTTACACTGTTGATGGGACTGTAAACTAGTTCAACCATTGTGGAAGACAGTGTGGTGATTCCTCAAGGATCTAGAATTAGAAATACCATTTGACCAAGCCATCCCATTATTGGGTATATACCCAAGGGATTATAAATCATGCTCCTATTAAGACACATGCACACGTATGTTTACTGCGGCACTGTTCACAGTAGCAAATACTTGGAAACAACCCAAATGTCCATCAATGATAGATTGGATTAAGAAAATGTGGCACTTTATACACCATGGAATACTATGCAGCCATCAAAAAGGATGAGTTCATGTCTTTGTAGGGACATGGATGAAGCTGGAAACCATCGTTCTCAGTAAACTATCCCAAGGACAAAAAACCAAACACCACATGTTCTCACTCATAGGTGGGAATAGAACAATGAGAACACTTGGACACAGGAAGGGGAACATCACACACCAGGGCCTGTCGTGGGGTGGGGGTAGGGGGGAGGGATAGCATTAGGAGATATACCTAATGTAAATGACAAGTTAATGGGTGCAGCACACCAACATGGCACATATATACATATGTAACAAACCCACACATTGTACACATGTATCCTAGAACTTAAAGTATTAAAAAAAAAAAAAGAAATCCTACAAGCCAGAAGAGATCAGTGTCAGATATCCAGCATTCTTAAAGAAAAGAAACTCCAACCAAAAATTTTATATCCAGCCAAACTAAGCTTCATAAATGAAGGAGAAATATAATCCTTTTTAGACAAGTAATGATAAGGGAAAGTGTCACCACCAGACCTGCCTTACAAGAGGTCACTAAGGGAGTGTTACATATGTAAATGAATGTTACCTGCCATGACAAAAATACACTTAAATATATAGCCCACTAAAATATAAAGCAACTACACAATCATGTCTACATAACTATCAGCTAACAACATGATGACAGGATCAAATCCACACATATTAATATTTACCTTGAATACAAATGGGCTAAATGCCCCACGTAAAAGGCACATAGTGGCAAACTGGATAAAGAAGCAAGACCGAACTGTATGCGGTCTTCAATAGACCTATTTCATGTGCAATTACACCCAAAGGCTCAAAGTAAAAAGATAGGGAAAAATTTACCAAGCAAATGGAAAACAGAGGAGAGCAGAGTATACCATTCTTATTTCAGACAAAACAGACTTTAAGCCAACAACAATCAAAAAGGACAAAGTAGGGCATTACATAATGGTAAAGGGTTCAATTCGACAAGAAGGCTTAATTAACCTAAATACAAATGTACCCAACACGGGAGCACCCAAATTCATAAAACAAGTTCTTAGCAACCTATAAAGAGACTTAATTAACCACACAATAATGGTGGGAGATGTCAACACCCCACTGACAGTATTGGGCCATTGAGGAAGAAAACCAATAAAAATATTCAGAATCTAAGCTCAAGACTTGACCAAATGGACCTACAGAACCATCCACCCCAAAACAACAGAATATACTTTCTTCTCATCCACACAAGGCACACACTCTAAAACTGACTGTAAGTTCAGTCAGAAAGAAATTCTGAAAAATTAAATAAAAAAGAAACTATGCCAACCATACTCTTGGACCACAGCGCAATTAAAAATAGAAATCATCACTAAGACGATCTCTCAAAAGAATACAATTATATGGAAATTTAAAAACCTGCTCCTGAATGACTTTGGAATAAACAATAAAATTAAGGCACAAATCAATAAATTCTTTGAAACTAATCAACACAAAGATACAACATATCAGACTCTCTGGAACACAGATAAAGGAGTGTTAAAAGGAAAGATTGTAGCACAGAACACCCACATCAAAAAGCTAGAAAGACCTCAAATTAACAACCTAACATTATACCTAGAGTAAATATAGAAACCAGCACAAAATAACCACAAAAGTAGCAGAAGAAAAGAAATAACCAAAATTCAGAGCTGAACTGAATGAAATTAAGATGTAAAAAATCATACTAAAAATCAATGAAAATAAAAGTTTGTTCTTTGAAAGAATAAACAAGATAGACCACTAGCTGGACTAATATAGAAAAAATAAGAGAAGATTCAAATAAACACAGTCAGAAATGACAAAGATGACATTATCACCAACCTCACAGAAACACACACACAAAAAAACCCTTAGAGTCTACTATGAATGCCTCTATGCACACAAAATAGGATACCTAGAAGAAACGGATAATTTCCTGGAAACACACAACCTCCCAAGATGAAACCAGGAAGAAATTGAAACCCTGAACAGATGAACAATGAATTGCAAAATTGAATCAGTAATGGAAACCCTGCCAACAAGAAAAGGTCCTGGACCAGACAGATTCACAGCTGAATTCTACCAGATATATAAACAGCTAGTACTAATCCTACTGTAATTATTCCAAAAAATTGAGTAGAAGGGACCACTCCGTAACTCACTCTATGAGGCCAACATCATTCTGAAACCAAAATCTGGCAGATTCACAGTGAAAAAAGAAAACTTCAGGTCAATATCCCTGATTAACATATTTGTAAAAATCTTCCACAAAATGCTAGCAAACCTTATCCAGTAACACATCAAAAAGCTAGTTCACTACAAGCAAGTAGGCTTTATTCTTAGGATGAAAGTCTGGTTCAATATACACAAATCAATAAATGTGATTCATTGCATAAACAGAGTTCTCTAAAAACCTACATGATCATCTCAATAGATGCAGAAAAGCCTTTCAATGAAATTCAACATCGCTTCATGATAAAAACTGTCAAGAAACCAGGCATTAAAGGGACATACCTCAAAACAGTAAGAGCCATCTATGACAAGCTCATAACCAAAATCACACTGAATGGGGAAAAGCTACAAGCATTGTCCTTGAAAACCAAAACAAGACATCCTCCTCACCACTCTTATTCAACATAGTACTGGGAGTCCTGGCCAGAGCAATCAAACAAGAGAAAGAAAGAAAAGGCATCCAGATAGGAAAAAAATGAAGTCAAAGTCTGTCTCTTCACAGAGGATATGATTCTATATGTAGAAAACTCCGTAGTCTCTGCCAAAAGTCTCCTAGATCTGCTAAACAACTTTAGCAAAGTTTCAGCATTAAAAAAAATCAATGTTCAAAAAGCAGTAGCATTTCTATACACCTGATGTGGTTTAGATTTGTGTCCCCACCCAAATCTCATGGTGAATTAGAAGAGGGCCTGGTGGGAGGTGATTGGATCATGAGGGCAATTTCCCCCCTTACTGTCTTTGTGACAGTGAGTGAGTTCTAATGAGATCTGATCATTGAAAAGTATGTGGCACCCACCCTCACACCTTGCTCCATCATGGTAAGACTTGCTTGCTTCCCCTCCCTCCATGATTGTAAGTGTCATGAGGCCTCCTGGCCATGCTTCCTGTTAATCCTGTGGAACTGTGAGTCGACTAAACTTCTTTTCTTCATAAGTTATCCAGTCTCAGCTAGTTCTTTATAGCAGTGTAAAAATGGACTAATGTAGGAATTTGGTATCAGGAGTGGGGTACTGCTATAAAGATACCTGAAAATGTGAAAACAACATTAGAGCTGGGTAATAAGTAGAGGTTGAAACAGTTTGGAGAGCTTAGAAAAAGACAGGAAGACGTGGGAAAATTTGGAACTTCCTAAAGACTTGTTGAATGGTTTTGACCAAAATGCTGACAGTGATATGGACAATGAAGTTCAGGCTGAGGTAGCCTCAGGTGGAGAGGAGAAACTTATTGGGAATTCGAGCAAAGACCATTCTTTGCGTGCTTTAGCAAAGGGACTTCGTGACATTGGGCCCCTGCTCTAGGGATCTGTGGAACTTTGAACTTGAGAGCAATGATTTAGGGTATCTGGCAGAAGAAATTTCTAAGCAGCAAAGCATCCAACATGGCTGCTTCTAAAAGCCCACAGTCATATGCATTCACAAAGAGATGGTCTGGAAATGGAACTTTTTTGTTTTTAATTATTATACTATAAGTTCTAGGGTACATGTGCATAACGTGAGGGTTTGTTACATATGTATACCTGTGCCATGCTGGTGTGCTGCACCCATTAACTTGTCATTTACATTAGGTATATCTCCTAATGCTATCCCTCCCCCCTCCCCCAACCCCATGACAGGCCCCGGTGTGTGATGTTCCCCTTCCTGTGTCCAAGTGTTCTCACTGTTCAATTCCCACCTATGAGAGAGAACATGTGGTGTTTGGTTTTTTGTCCTTGGGATAGTTTACTGAGAACGATGGTTTCCAGCTTCATCCATGTCCCTACAAAGGACATGAACTCATCCTTTTTGATGGCTGCATAGTATTCCATGGTGTATAAAGTGCCACATTTTCTTAATCCAATCTATCATTGATGGACATTTGGGTTGTTTCCAAGTATTTGCTACTGTGAACAGTGCCGCAGTAAACATACGTGTGCATGTGTCTTAATAGGAGCATGATTTATAATCCCTTGGGTATATACCCAATAATGGGATGGCTTGGTCAAATGGTATTTCTAATTCTAGATCCTTGAGGAATCACCACACTGTCTTCCACAATGGTTGAACTAGTTTACAGTCCCATCAACAGTGTAAAAGTGTTCCTATTTCTCCACATCCTCTCCAGCACCTGTTGTTTCCTGACTTCTTAATGATCGCCATTCTAACTTGTGTGAGATGGTATCTCACTGTGGTTTTGATTTGCATTATCTCTGATGGTCAGTGATGATGAGCATTTTTTCATGTGTCTGTTGGCTGCATAAATGTCGTCTTTTGAGAAGTGTCTGTTCATATCCTTTGCCCACTTTTTGATGGGTTGCTTTTTTCTTGTAAATTTGAGTTCTTTGTAGATTCTGGATATTAGCCCTTTGTCAGATAAGTAGACTGCAAAAATTTTCTCCCATTCTGTAGGTTGCCTGTTCACTCTGATGGTAGTTTCTTTTGCTGTGCAGAAGCTCTTTAATTATATCCCATTTGTCAATTTTGGCTTTTGTTGCCATTGCTTTTGGTGTTTTAGTCATGAAGTCCTCGCCCATGCCTATGTCCTGAATGGTATTGCCTAGGTTTTCTTCTAGGGTTTTAATGGTTTTAGGTCTAACATTTAAGTCTTAATCCATCTTGAATTAATTTTTATATAAGGTGTAAGGAAGGGATCCAGTTTCAGCTTTCAACATATGGCTAGCCAGTTTTCCCAGCACCATTTATTAAATAGGGAATCCTTTCCCCATTTCTTGTTTTTGTCAGACTTGTCAAAGATCAGATGGTTGCAGATGTGTGGTATTATTTCTGAGGGCTCTGTTCTGTTCCATTGGTCTATATCTCTGTTTTGGTACAAGTACCATGCTGTTTTGGTTACTGTAGCCTTGTAGTATAGTTTGAAGTCAGGTAGTGTGATACCTCCAGCTTTTTTCTTTTGGCTTAGTATTGTCTTGGCAATGTGGGCTGTTTTTTGGTTCCATATGAACTTTAAAGTAGTTTTTTCCAATTTTGTGAAGAAAGTCATTGGTAGCTTGATGGGGATGACATTGAATCTATAAATTACCTTGGGCAGTATGGCCATTTTCACCATATTGATTCTTCCCGTCAATGAGCATGGAATGTTCTTCCATTTGTGTCCTCTTTTATTTCATTTAGCAGTGGTTTGCAGTTCTCCTTGAAGAGGTCCTTCACATCCCTTGAAAGTTGGATTCCTAGGTATTTAATTCTCTTTAAAGCAATTGTGAATGGGAGTTCACTCGTGATTTGGTTCTCTGTTTGTCTGTTATTGGTGTATTGGAATACTTGTGATTTTTGTACATTGATTTTATATCTTGAGACTTTGCTGAAGTTGCTTCTCAGCTTAAAGAGATTTTGGGCTGAGATGATGGGGATTTCTAAATATACAATCATGTCATCTGCAAACAGGGACAATTTGACTTCCTCTTTTTCTAATTGAATACATTTTATTTCTTTCTCCTGCCTGATTGCCCTGGCCAGAACTTCCAACACTATGTTGAATAGGAGTGGTGACAGAGGGCAGCCCTATCTTGTGCCAGTTTTCAAAGGGAATGCTTCCAGTTTTTGCCTAGTCAGTATGATATTGGCTGTGGGTTTGTCATAAATAGCTCTTATTATTTTGAGATACATCCCATCAATACCTAATTTATTGAGAGTTTTTAGCATGAAGGCTGTTGAATTTTGTCAAGGGCCTTTTCTCCATCTACTGAGATAATCATGTGGTTTTTGTCTTTGGTTCTGTTTATGGGATGGATCACATTTATTGATTTGTGTATGTTGAACCAGCCTTGCATCCCAGGGATGAAGCCAACTTGATCGTGTTGGAGAAGCTTTTTGATGTGCTGCTGGATTTGGTTTGCCAGTATTTTATTGAGGATTTTTGCATGGATGTTCATCAGGGATATTGGTCTAAAATTCTCTTTTTTTGTTGTGTCTCTGCCAGGCTTTGGTATCAGGATGATGCTGACCTCATAAAATGAGTTAGGGAGGATTCTCTCTTTTTCTATTGATTGGAATAGTTTCAGAAGGAATGGTACCAGCTCCTCTTTGTACCTCTGGTAGAATTTGACTATCAATCCTTCTGGTCCTGGACTTTTTTTAGCTGGTAGGCTATTAATTATTGCCTCAATTTCAGAGCCTGTTATTGATCTATTCAGGCATCCAAATTCTTCCTTGTGTAGTCTTGGGAGGGTGTGGGTGTCCAGGAATTTATCCATTTCTTCTAGATTTTCTAGTTTATTTGCATAGAGGTATTTATAGTATTCTCCAATGGTAGTTTGTATTTCTGTGGGATTGGTGGTGATATCCCCTTTATCATTTTTTATTGCATCTATTTGATTCTTCTCTCTTTTCTTATTAGTCTTGCTAGTGGTCTATCAATTTTGTCGATCTTTTCAAAAAGCCAGCTCCTGGATTCATTGATTTTTTGAAGGGTTTTTTGTGTCTCTATCTCCTTCAGTTCTGCTCTGATCTTAGTTATTTCTTGCCTTCTGCTAGCTTTTGAATATGTTTGCTCTTGCTCTTCTAGTTCTTTTAATTGTGATGTTAGGGTGTCAATTTTGGATCTTTCCTGCTTTCTCTTATGGGCATTTAGTGCTATAAATTTCCCTCTAAACACTGTTTTAAATGTGTCCCAGAGATTCTTGTATGTTGTGTCTTTGTTCTCATTGGTTTCAAAGAACATCTTTATTTCTTCCTTCATTTCTTTATGTACCCAGTAGTCATTCAGGAGCAGGTTGTTCAGTTTCCATGTAGTTGAGCAGTTTTGAGTGAGTTTCTTAATCCTAAATTCTAGTTTGATTGCGCCATGGTCTGAGAGACAGTTTGTTATAATTTCTGTTCTTTTACATTTGCTGAGGAGTGCTTTATTTCCAACTATGTGGTCAGTTTTGGAATAAGTTTGATGTGGTGCTGAGAAGAATGTATATTCTGTTGATTTGGGGTGGAGAGTTCTGTAGATGTCTACAAGGTCCACTTGGTGCAGAGCTGAGTTCAATTCCTGGATATCCTTGTTAACTTTTTGTCTCAATTGATCTGTCTAATGTTGATAGTGGGTTGGACAGTGGGGTGTTAAAGTCTCCCATTATTATTGTGTGGGAGTCTAAGTCTCTTTGTAGGTCTCTAAGGACTTGCTTTATTAATCTGGGTACTCCTGCATTGGGTGTATACATATTTAAGATAGTTAGCTCTTCTTGTTGAATTGATCCCTTTACCATTATGTAATGGCCTTCTTTGTCTCTTTTGATCTTTGTTTGGTTTAAAGTCTGTTTTATCAGAGACTAGGATTGCAACCCCGCCTTTTTTTGTTTTCCATTTGCTTAGTAGACCTTCCTCCATCCGTTTATTTTGAGCCTATGTGTCTCTGTACATGAGATGGGTCTCCTGAATACAGCAAACTGATGGGTATTGACTCTTTATCCAATTTGACAGTCTATGTCTTTTAATTGGAGCATTTAGCCCACTTACATTTAAGGTTAATATTGTTATGTGTGAATTTGATCCTGTCATTATGATGTTAGCTGGTTATTTTGCCCATTAGTTGATGCAGTTTCTACCTAGCATCAATGGTCTTTACAATTTGGCATGTTTTTGCAGTGGCTGGTACTAGTTGTTCCTTTCCATGTTTAGTGCTTCCTTCAGGAGCTCTTGTGGGGCAGGCCTGGTGGTGACAAAATCTCTCAGCATTTGCTTGTCTCTAAAGGATTTTATTTCTCCTTCACTTATGAAGCTTATTTTGGCTGGATATGAAATTCTGGGTTGAAAATTCTTTTCTTTAAGAATGTTGAATATTGGCTCCCACTCTCTTCTGGCTTGTAGAGTTTCTGCCGAGAGATCAGCTGTTAGTCTGATGGGCTTCCCTTTGTGGGTAACCCGACCTTTCTCTCTGGCTGCCCTTAACATTTTTTCTTTCATTTCAACTTTGGTGAATCTGACAATTATGTGTCTTGGAGTTGCTTTTCTCAAGGAGTATCTTTGTGGCATTCTCTGTATTTCCTGATTTGAATGTTGGCCTGCCTTGCTAGATTGGGGAAGTTCTCCGGGATAATATCCTGCAGAGTGTTTTCCAACTTGGTTCCATTCTCCCTGTCACTTTCAGGTACACCAGTAAGACGTAGATTTGGTCTTTTCACATAGTCCCATATTTCTTGGAGGCTTTTGTTCATTTGTTTTTACTCTTTTTTCTCTAAACTTCTCTTCTTGCTTCATTTCATTCATTTGATCTTCCATCGCTGACACCCTTTCTTCCAGTTGATCAAATCAGCTACTGAAGCTTATGCATTTGTCACGTAGATCTCGTGCCATGGTTTTCAGCTCCATTAGGTCATGTAAGGACTTCTCTACACTGGTTATTCTAGTTAGCCATTCGTCTAATCTTTTTTCCAGATTTTTAGCTTGTTTGTCATGGGTTTGAACTTCCTCCTTTAGCTGGGAAAAGTTTGATCGTCTGAAGCCTTCTTCTCTCAACTCATCAAAGTCATTCTCCATCCAGCTTTGTTCCCTTGCTGGCGAGGAGCTGCATTCCTCTGGAGGAGGAAAGGCACGCTGATTTTTACAGTTTTCAGCTTTTCTGCTGTGTTCTTTCCCCATCTTTGTGGTTTTATCTACCTTTGGTCTTTGATGATGGTGACGTACAGATGGGGTTTTGGTGTGGATATGCTTTCTGTTTGTTAGTTTTCCTTCTAACAATCAGGATCCTCAACTGCAGGTCTGTTGGAGTTTGCTGGAGACGCTGTTTGCCTGGGTATCACCAGCGGAGGCTGCAGAACAGCAAATATTGCTGAACAGCAAATGTTGCTCCCTGACAGTTCCTCTGGAAGCTTCATCTCAGAGGGGTACACAGCCATGTGAGTTGTCAGTCTGCCCCTACTGGGGGGTGCTTCCCAGATAGGCTACTCGGGGCTCAGGGACCCACTTCAGGAGACAGTCTGTCCTTTCTCAGATCTCAAACTCTGTGCTGGGAGAACCACTACTCTCTTCAAAGATGTCAGACAGGGACATTTAAGTCTGCAGATGTTTCTGCTTCCTTTTGTTTGGCTATGTCCTGCCCCCAGAGATGGAGTCTACAGAGGCAGGCAGGCCTTCTCGAGCTGTGGTGGGCTCCACCCAGTTCGAGCTTCCTGGCCACTTTGTTTACCTACTCAAGCCTCAGCAATGGCAAGCGCCCCTCCCCCAGCGTCGCTGCCTCCTATCAGTTTGATCTCAGACTACTGTGCTAGCAATGAGTGAGGCTTCATGGGCATGGAACCCTCCAAGCCAGGCACGGGATATAATCTCTTGGTGTGCTATTTGCTAAGACTGTTGGAAAAGTGCAGTATTAGGGTGGGAATGACCTGATTTTCCAGGTGCCATCTGTCACGGCTTCCCTTGGCTAAGAAAGGGAATTCCCTGACCCCTTGTGCTTCCCAGGTGAGGCGATGCCTCGCCCTGCTTCGGCTCATGCTCAGTGGGCTGCACCCACTGTCCTGCACCCACTGTCTGACAAGCCCCAGTTGGAAATGCAGAAATCACCCGTCTTCTGTGTCACTCATGCTGGGAGCTGTAGACTGGAGCTACTCCTATTTGGTCATCTTGGAACTGCCCCAGAACTTATTTTTAAAAGGGAGGCAGAAAATAAAAGTTTGGAAAATTTGCAGCTTGACCATGTGGCAGAAAAGAAAACCCCATTTTCTAGGGAGAAACTCAAGGCATGCCAGCTGCAAGAATTTGCATAAGTCAAGAGGAACCAAATGTTAATAGCCAAGAAATGAGGAAAACAACTCCAAAATATGTTTGAGAACTTTGAGGCAGCCCCTCCCATCCCAGTTCAGGAGGCCTCTGAGGAAAACAGGTTTTGTTGGCCAGGCCCATGGCCCCACTGCTCTGTGCAGACTCAGGATATGGTGTCCTGCATCCCAGCTACTCCAGCTTCAGCCATGACTAAAAGGAGTCAAGGTAAAGCTTGGGTCATTGCTTAAGAGGGAGCAAGCCTCAAATTTTGGCAACCTCCACCTAGATTTCAGAGCATGTATGGAAACACCTGGATGTCCAGGCAGAAGTCTGCTGCAGGGGCAGAGCCCTCATGGCGAACCCCTACTACAGCAGTGCAGAGGGGACAAGTGAGATT
This sequence comes from Homo sapiens, assembly GCF_000001405.40. Classification (NCBI taxonomy): domain Eukaryota; kingdom Metazoa; phylum Chordata; class Mammalia; order Primates; family Hominidae; genus Homo; species Homo sapiens. The sequence goes on from NC_000018.10 coordinate 53,835,013, forward strand.
GGAGCTCCCACACAGAGTCCTCACTGGGTCACCGCCTAGGAGATCTGTGAGAAGAGAGCCACCATGCTCTAAACCCAAGAAACGTAAATCCACCAATAGCTTGCACTGTGTGCCTGAAAAAGCTGCAGGTACTCAATGCCAGCCTATGAATGCAGCCATGAGGACTGTAACCTGCAGAGTCCCAGGAGTGGAACTCCCCAAGGCCTTGGGAACCCACCCCTTGAATCAGTGTCACCTGAATGTGAGACATAGAGTCAAAGGAGATCATCTCGGAGCTTTAAGATTTAATGGCTGCCCTGCTGGGTTTTGGACTTGCAGAGGGCCTGTAGCACCTTTGTTTGCTTTGGCCAATTTCTCCCATTTGGAATGGGAGCATTTACCCAATGCCTATATTCCCGTTGTATCTTGAGTATAACGAACTTCTTTTTTTTTTTTTTTTTTTTACATACTCATAGGCAGAAAGGAGTTGCCTTGTCTCAGATGAGAGTTTAAACTGTGGACTTTTGAGTTAATGCTAAAATTAGTTAAGACTGGGGGATTGTTGAGAAGGGATAATTGTATTTTGCAATGTTAGAAGGACATGAGATTTGGGAGGGGCCAAGGGTGGAATGATGTGGTTTGGATCTGGGTATCTGTCCAAATCTCATGTCAAATTGGAGAATGAGCCTGGTGGGAGGTGATTGGATCATGGAGTGGATTTCTGTCTTGCTGTTCTCATGATCATGAGTAAACTCTCACAAGATCTATCATTTAGAAGTATGTGGCACCTCCCCACTCCCACCCTCTCTCTCCTGCTCTGCCATGGTAAGACATGCTTGCTTCCTCTTTGCCTTCTGCCATGATTGCAAATTTCCTGAGGCATCCTAGCCATGCTTCCTGTTAAACCTGCAGAACTGTGAGTCAATTAAACCTCTTTTCTTCATAAATTATGCAAACTCTGGTAGTACTTTATAGCATCATGAAAACAAACTAATACAACACGAATAATGTCCAAGCTGAGAGCCAAATCAAGAATACAATTCCATTAACTTTAGCCATAAAGAGAATAGAATACCTAGGAATACAGCTAATCAGTGAGGTAAGAGATCTCTACAATGAGAATTACAATACACTGCTGAAAGAAATCAGAGATGACACAAATAGAAAAACATTACATGCCCATAGATAGGAGGAATCAATATTGTTAAAATGGCTATACTGCTCAGAGCAATTTATAGATTCAATATTATTCCTATCAAACAACCAAAACATTCTTCACAGAACTAGAAAAAAAAAACTATTTCAAATTTCATATGGAACCAAAAAAAGAGCCCAAATAGTGAAAGCAATCCCAGGTAAAAAGAACAAACCTGGAAGCATCATGTTATCTGACTTCAAACTATACTGCAAGGCTATAGTAACCAAAACAGCATGATATTGGTATGAAAACAGACATATAGACCAATGAAAAAGGTTGGAGAACTCAAAAATAAAGCTTCACACTTAAAACCATCTGCTTTGACAAAGTTGACAAAAACAAGCAATGGGGAAAAGACTCTGTATTTAATAAATGGTACTAAGATAACTAGTTAGCCATATGCAGAAAATTGAAACCAGACCTTGTCCTTTCACCATGTACAAGAATCAACTCAAGATGAATTAAAGAGACTTAAATGTGAAACATAAAACTCTAAAATCCCTAGAAGACAACCTAATAAAAAGAGTTGAATTTTGTGAGCCTCCACCTAGATTTGGAGGCCCTGAAAAAGATTTCATAATGAAGACTCCAAAAGCAATGGTAACAAAAACAAAAGTTGACAAGTTGGACCTAATTAAACAAAAGACCTTCTACACAGCCAAAGAAACTATCAATGGAGTATACAACCCGCAGATTGCAAGAAAATATTTACAACCTATGCATCTGACAAAATCTATATGCAGCTTTAACAAATTAATGAGCAAGAAAAAACAACCCAATGAGCAAATAGATAAATGACATAAATAAACAGACACTTCTCAAAAGACATATATGTGGCCAACAATCATATGAAAAATGCTCAACATCACTAATCATTTGAGAAATGCAAATCAAAACCACAATGACCTACCATCTCATGCCAATCAGAATGGCTATTACAAAAACATCTAAAAATAACAGATGTTGGTAAGGCTGTGGAAAAAAGGGAACACTTATACACTGCTGGTGGGAATGTCAATTAGTTCAGTCACTTTGGAAAGCAGTCTGGAGATGTCTTAAGGAACTTAAAACAGAGCTACCATTCAATCCAGCAATCCCATTACTAGGTATGTAACCAAAGGAATATAAATAATTTACTGTAAAGAAACATGCACACATATGTTCATCACAGCACTATTCACAATAGTAAAGACATGGATTCAACCTAGATGCCCATTGGTGGTGAACTGGATAAGGAAAATGTGGTACATATACACCACGGAATACTATGTAGCCATAAAAAAGAATGAAATCATGTCCTGTGCAACAACAAGGATGTAGCTGGAGGTCATTATCCTAAGCAAGTTAACAGAAACAGAAAAGCAAATACTGCATGTTCTCACTTGTAACTGGAAGCTAAAAGTTGAGCACACATGGAATCTAAGAAGGAAAACTAGACACAGGAGCGTACTTGAGGATGGACGTTGGGAGGAGGTAAGTATGGAAAAACTACCTATCAGGTACTGTGCTCATTACTTGGGTAATGAAATAATCTGTACATCAAACCCCTGCAACACACAATTTACCCATGTAACAAACCTGCAAATGTACCCCTGAACCTAAAGTAAACATTGGAAAGAAAAAAAAAAGGATAAATAAGAAACACCAAAAAAAGAAAAATCATACAAAACCACAAGCCGCCTCAGTGCTCATAAAGTAGCAGCAAAACATGGTGGCCTTACTAAAGCTAAAAGCATCCCAAATCTATTTTTTTAATCTCAGAATGCTCTCCTAATAGCCAGAACCCATTTTTCTTCCTTGTTGCTGGAAATTTCTACCTGAATATTCAGAAACAATAATTCAGTCTCCTAAACTCTTCAAGTTCCCCTTAAAAGTGTATTTTTTCGTGCACCATGATCTTGATGCACAGAACCTCTATCCTTGTTCCCCATTTTGGAAGGCTAATCAGCACATTTTAGGGGTGCCTCTCCTTTGGTCTCCAACCTGAATCAGTTAACAAGATTATCCAAACTAATTTCTAAATACTTCTCTAATTTTTTTCTTTTCTTCCTACACTGAATTAGTTGCATTTATCATCTTGCATTATATTAAAACAAGCAATGGGTGGTGTAAAAGTAATTGCTACGTAATATTTGTTTATAAGTTTCTTTTTCACCCCTATTAAACTGACATCCCGTGAAACTTCTTAAGTTTTTGTCCTGAGCATATTATATAATATTTGGCACTCAGCGGGTACACAATAAATTGAGTTATACTCCTAATAATTAAATAGTGGGCAAATAAATGTTTACTACTTCCTTGTGAATTGATACTTCCTAAAATGAGTTTTATACTTTTTAAATATTCAGGGATAAAGCTTAACATGCTAGAACAATGAGATAAGCACATTTACTCTAACGTGTATGATTTTCTGCATTTGCAAAATCTGCCCCCACCAACTGCTCTTAAATTCTGTCTCCATACCCTTTTTCCCATGCTATCATTATATTATTTCCCATTCTTCTGAAATGCAGATAATTTAGGAGTTATTGGACACCATCCCATATAAAACAGTAGATTTATACAACCCAAATCCTAGAAACGTGTGTTCTCTGCTTGCCAGGAAAACAAGTTGTGTGTAAAGTTCCGTTGAGGCTTCTTGTTCCCACAGAATAGCACCTAAAGGAGGTGATAGAATGCTGGAACATGTGGCATTATGCTCGGAATGTTTCTCTGCCTAATTGGCCTGAATTTATGAGTACATAATAACCCTCTCTATGCATTTTTGAACACAGGCAGCATTATAAAATAAGCCTGAGTAATATCCAGGCTGCTTTGTTTTATGGGGATCTTTATAGCATGAGCATGTTGTGCAACAAATGCACGGGGTATGCACAGATGTTTACATTCATTTATACTTCTCTGGGCAGCAGCAGCAATATGAATGCAGTTTGGACAACATCATTAAGAATTACACTTGGACTCACTTTATTACATTAAAAGGAAGTGTGTTTCTTCCCACTTCTAATTCACTTTAGAAGTCAAGAATTAAGTTGGCCAATAGGTGATTACATCTCTCTTTCCAAGCTCTTTTCTCAAATCATTATTATATTTCTTTTTCCATTCCAGTCACTTGGTTTCTCTGTTGTTTTGTATTTCAAATAACTAATCAGCTCCAGGAGTAGAACATTACTGCTGCTCAGGGCCTGCTAGTTTTTTTCTTACTGTCTGGTTTCTTGAATTAATGGTATAATATTTTGGATGCCATTACACTATGCCAGAAAAATCTTTCCTCTGCTATGGGCACCAGTGGAGAACAGTTTGTAAGTAATATTGTACTTTCCTGATTCAATAAGTGGGTAATTTGTTCCAGTGAGCAAACATGCATGACTTTATTCTTATGACAATAAATGAAGTAAGATACTCACCTGGATTTTCAGAACTCTACTATGAGGTATGTTTTGGATTTCAGAAGATATTAAGAAAGACAAAGAGGTAAAAACTCTGGAAAGCAATGCAAGATTCCTTGATGACATCTCAGATGCAGCTAGTAAAGAGTTTGGTCATTCTGCTTTATAATCTGCCAGGCTTCTCAAAATACAGTTTTTAATTCACAAACATCCGGTATAAGACAGAATCAACCAGGCCCACCTGAAATGACCATTCTTAACTAGGTTCATTCCAGGCAAGAGGGGCTCCCAGAGGACATTTCCTGCTCAGACAGCCCATATATACCAACATTTTAAAATCTGTAATACTTCTGGGGACTTGCAGTAATCACAAAATAAGATTGATTTTGTATTTTCTCATAAAATCCTATCCCAACCACCCATTGTTTTAGTAACATATTTAGCCAAAACTGCCAAATCTGCCAAATCCAACTGTCTATTCAGTCACATAATCTGCTTTTCAAAATTTCTCTAAACCAGAGTATCTCCACCTCACCACTACTGACATTTGGCACTGCATAATTCTTTGCTGTAGGGAGTTGTCCTGCGTACTGTACACTGTTTAGCAGCATCACTGGCTTCTACTCGCTGGATGCCAATAGCACCCTCACCAAAGTTGTGACAACTAAAATTGTTTCTGGACATTGCCAAGTGTCCCCCGGGGGGGCAAAAATCACCCCTGGTTGAGAAACACTGTTTTAAATAAAACCAACTCAGATTTAGTGAAAAACAAACAAACAATAACTTCTAGTGTTGCTCAATCCCCAATAAGCCAGTGTGACATAATGGTGGCACACGTTGGGGTAAATGCATTGTTTTGGAATCAGCCCACTCAGGGTTCAGTCTCCTCATCTATAAATAAGCAGACCATAAAATGCTACTTTTGAAGGTAGCTGAAACATAGCACATACAAAATACTAGCAAAGTGTCTGAAGGATATTAGCTATTTTTAAAAAGACCGGTTTCTTTTATTATCAGCAAATGGTATCCATTAAACTTTACTTTCAGCCTCAAGATCATTGTTAGGGTCCATTTTAAAGTCCATCTTCATTGAGAAATGAAGATGATACAGAATATTGGACTAAATTTACACTAATCCCACAACATTTTTGGACTTAGTTTTCCACATAAGTTTATCTATTTTAGGCCTGAGAAAAAGCTGGCAACTAGGCCGGGCGCGGTGGCTCACGCCTGTAATCCCAGCACTTTGGGAGGCCGAGGCAGGTGGATCATGAGGTCAGGAGATCGAGACCATCCTGGCTAACAAGGTGAAACCCCGTCTCTACTAAAAATACAAAAAATTAGCCGGGCGCGGTGGCGGGCGCCTGTAGTCCCAGCTACTCGGGAGGCTGAGGCAGGAGAATGGCGTGAACCCGGGAGGCGGAGCTTGCAGTGAGCCGAGATTGCGCCACTGCAGTCCGCAGTCCGGCCTGGGCGACAGAGCGAGACTCCATCTCAAAAAAAAAAAAAAAAGAAAAAAAAAAAGAAAAAGCTGGCAACTGCCTCCTATGGTGGAACAAGTTCTAGGGCTGGTAGACTCACTTTAATAGTTTCAGTCTGGCTATGAGAAGTACAGTCTCCAAGCAGAAGAGCAATCCCCCATCGTGCTCTTCCAGGCAAGTTCCAGCAACCAATGTTCCCAGGAACAGCAATGGATCACAGCAAACGGACTTAGAAGTTAGGGAAGGTTTCTTATCCCTCAGTATGGGGGTTCTTACAAGTCTAGGAAGAAAGATGGTTAGCTCTCAGGAGATATTCTATTCATGGGTAACACGCTGGGGTGAGGGATCAGCTTAATGGAATTATCAGAGTCAGATATGGAATTGAATAAGAGGCTTTCAAGGCCAGAAGAAGAGCTTAAAAGCAGGGACTGAGGAAGAAGCCAAAGCTTATAAACAGGAATATCTTGGCAACCTCCAAAACAGCAGTAATAATGGCTTTCTCTTCATAGGTTCAGGATCAAAGAGTTCTTCCCTTTAAGTATTTAGCCTGCAATCAGGAAGAACATGGGAAAGCACCTGTTGCAATCTGGTCTCCACAATGAAGACAAGTTTCAAATAAGGCAGCCATCTCATAGTATGAGGAGGGCAGAGTTGGGTAATTGATCTTGGAGTGACAATTGAATATCAAGCAAACAGTTTTTACTTATGTGATTAATGCATTGAACAAATTAGGTCCTTTCTTCCTTTTACTTTTACTTTCTCAAACCTAGTCTGCAGATTTTGTTCTTTCTTCCCCTGAATGAAAACCAGGGCAAGTTCTGCAATGTATATGCACTCACTCACATGACTAAATCTTATCCATCATGTTGGCCCCTAAAACAGTCAGAGTTGAATCATAAAAATTCCTTCCTGGCTGGGTGCGGTGGCTCACACCTGTAATCCCAGCACTTTGGGAGGCTGAGGCAGGTGGATCACGAGGTCAGGAGTTCAAGACCAGCCTGGCCAACATAGTGAAACATTGTCTGTACTAAAAATACAATAATTAGCTAGGCATGGTGGCACATTACTGTAGTCCCAGCTACTTGGGAGGCTGAGGCAGGGGAATCGCTTGAACCCGGGAGGTGGATGTTGCATTGAGCTGAGATCGTGCCTCTGCACTCTCCAGCTTGGGCAACAGAGCAAGACTTCATCTAAAAAAATAAAAAATTCATTCCAATGCAATACCAAAGTTTCAAACTTTGGCAGGTTTGTCTGAAGACTATTGCCAGAAGAAAGAAGTAGAGTGGAGTTTGGAAATCTTTTGAACTGAAGTATCTGAAAGTTACTCTACAGCAGAGACGTGGAGAAGAGGGTAAAAAAAATAAGAGTGTAGATAACATCTTTTCAGATTAGAATCCTCCTGGAGTTGTATTTGTCTCACTATGGATTTAAAGCTGCCTCTCCCATGGCTATCTTTGTGCATTTTTGCAGAGCCCTCATTGCTATGGACCTATCCCCTGTCATTCTCTGCCACAGTGGTACACTTCCTGGCTGCACCTGCTAACCATTTAGGCTCCTGCTTCTCTGTAGTCCTCCTCTTCACAGACTCTTTCTTGGGGGCTCCATTCCCCTCCAGAAAGCCATCTTGGAAGAGTCCCTGCAAGGTGACTATAGACCCTAGCAGGCTTTCTCTCTCCCTGATCACCACTAGCCTTGGGAGACACAGGTGTGTAACCCATAATTTGTGGGAATGCGGCACAGTCCCAAACACAAATGCTGCACCCTGGCTATAGTTCACATTGCCTGTTAGAACTCTCAGGCAAGAGTGAGATCACTGTCTACTATCTTGCCAATGCAGAGGCCACACAAAAGTTCTCCAAGTGTTATCCTCAAAGCCCCTCTAATTAGCCTTGATGTGAGGGAAAAGCACAGAGAACTAAAATTCTCCAATCTTTAACCACGCTCAGCCTCTGCAATGTTAATTTTAATGTTAATTGATTGAGGGGACAAGTGCCTAGTCCCACATCAGGGAGCTCTGGTGTCTCATCTTAGAATATGTGGAGCAATCAGACCTGACTCTCAGCCAACATTGAGAGGAAATGTCCCCACATCAGTGCACAGACAGCTCCTGGGGGCCAGCTCTCTCCAACATATTAGAGGAGTGCAACACCTTCTTTCCCTTCTGGAAATGGCAGAAACTTAAGCTACATAATATCAGAATACACACAGTGTCACTAACAGCAAGAAAGAGTGCCTGTAAAATATAGAGGGCTGGGTGATTCATAGGCAATTCAGATGACTCAATACATTAAATTGGGCTGCTGGTTAAAATTATTTGGGAATCCCAGAGAGTTCTCTTCTGTTTTCTACCTCTAGAGTCTATAAACCTGCTTCCCTAGCCCTTTTTCCCAATTACAATTTTATCATTCTGTTCTTATTCAAATAATCACATGCCATATTGCTGCAACAGCCCTTCTCGAATGAAGAACGATTTATCTTTGAGGGTGACACACTCTGAGCTTGTGGCCAATGATTGGTAGCACAGCACATATGGACAGGAAATTGTGTGTCTTCCACAGAACGCTGCTCACATATTTTACTACCGAATATAAAACACAGAGGGTACGTTTGGGGCAAAGAAACCTGGGCCTCTTGGAAATCCACATCCCTTCAAGCCCCTCACAATATGACCAAGTAAGCTAATAAATCTCCTCCATCTTCCAGCTCTGTCCCTCCAACAGGGAACATCAGAGAGCTCTTTGTTTTATGGTTTTCAACTCATAATAAGTTTGAAATCTATCAAAGAGAAATCTTCCTCACTACCATTTTTCCCATCTCGAGCAGAAGAAAATTCTGAAAGAGTAGACTAAAGATGATCTCAGTTGTCAGGAGTAGCTGTTTAGGAGTTTCTTCTGACATTTACATAAGTCCATATTCAGCAGAACAACTCTTCTTTAACACAAACCAGCCTGTGGCAGAGATCCCTGATGCTGACTATGCAGTGGGTGCCAAATAAATGTCATTTGTTATCATTGTCATTTATTTCCTTATCAAAAGTAGCCTAGGGCATGAAAATGACATGTTTTTCTTTCAAATGCTTATTTTTATTGAAGATTATTTTGTTGATGTACTTCTCCTAACATTCTGACTTGCCTTAAGTAATGCATAACATCCATAACTACCTATTCTGGGGAGGTGGGCAGGGAGAAGAGGGGTATTTTTCCGTAAAAAGACAAGTGGCATTTCAATGAATGCTAAAGTTTGAGGAGAAAAACAGTGTTCACTTGGACAACATATTCACTGAAACAGCTATGACTTTTACAAGAGCCAAATATTTAATAAGCCCATATACAGACATATTATATATATATATAAATGCTCATTTCTAAATATATAAATATATATTCCTATATATTTATATATATTCCTAAATATATATGAGATTAAGAAAATACTCAAGAATGGAATGGAATATGTATATACTATTTCAGATTATCTAGATATATTGTTCCTCAGTTACCACATTCTATGATGAACTTACATTTGCATACACAAATGCCTAGATAATAAAACTCAAAATAAGTCTACTTGGTTTTCTTGAAATTATCTCAGATTTCCAATCTACTGGGTGTAAACAAAGTTCTGATTTAGATATGTTGCCCAATGTTCTGACTTCAGAAGACTGCCAGTAAGTGAATGTTGTATTTCATTCATCACATTTTGTCCATTTGAAAAAAAGAGGCACAGTTATTAACATGAGAGATCTACTTGTAGAGACTATAGGCAATGTTGCTGTGCTATTGAGAACCTTTGTGATATAACACAATTTCAGCACTAGAAAACATGCCTATTTGAATCTGAGTCAGAAAAAGCTTTAAAGAGGAGATAGGAACAGTAGGCACTGGGCATCAACGTATTTGGATTGAAAGAAGAAAGAGTTCATTGCAAGAAGTGAGGAGGAGAGGTGAATATAAGAGTTACTTACAACAAAGTTCAATTGACAACTGCAACAAATTCTTAGATCTGAAGGACTTTAGCATCATAGAAGCAGCACTGTCCCAAGAGTCAGGAAACTCTGTCCACTTCCCATTGCCATCAATGTCATTAACTAACACACAGTCATGGCTGCCTTCTGGGCCTTTTTTAAACTGCTTATTTAGTAGACTAAAGGGAAGAAAATAATATAAAATTTTACTTAGTAAATCACAACATTACTCTTAACTGTCTCAAGAGATAAGACTATTTTACTTCAGAGTAGACTGTCTTATAACATAAGGCCAAGTGGAAAAGTGAGTAATAGCTTCCATGGTGAAACACCATACTCAATGGTGAAAGGCTGACAACTTTTCCTCTAAGATCAGGAAAGATCAAGAATGATCAAGAATATCTGCTTTTTCTACTTCTATTCATGTAGTACTAGAGCTCCAACCAGAACAATTAGGCAAGTAAAAGAAATGGCATTCAAAATTCGAAAGAAAGATGTAAAATTATCTCTGGTTCCAGACAACATGATCTATTACATACAGAACTCTAACGATTACACACACACGGGGCCGGGCACAGTGGCTCATGCCTGTAATCCCAGCACTTTGGGAGGCCAAGGCAGGTGGATCACTTGAGGTAGGGAGTTCGAGACCAGCCTAACCAACATGGAGAAATCCCATCTTTACTAAAAATACAAAAAAATTAGCCAGGCATAGTGGCGCATGCATGTCATCTCAGCTACTTGGGAGGCTGAGGCAGGAGAATCGCTTGAACACAGGAAGTGGAGGTTGCAGTGAGCCAAGACCGTGCCATTGCACTCAAGCCTGGCCAACAAGAGCAAAACTCATTCTCAAAAAAAAAAAAAAGATCACACACACACACACACACACACACACACACACACACATAAAAATAGTAATTCAGCAAAGTTGCAGAATAGGAAATCAACAGGCAAAAATCAATTGTGTTTATTTACACCAGCAATAAACAATCTGAAAATAAAATATGAAAAACAACTTCATTTATAATAGCATTGAAAAAGTAAAGTACTTAGGAGTAAACCAAGAAGACACTGAAAACTATAAAATGTTGTTAAAATAAATTGAAGATACAAACAAATGGAATGCCATTCTTTGTTCATGGATTGGAAGATTTAATATTGTTAAGATGTCAGTGTTACCTGAAGTAACCTACAGATTTTATGCAATCCCTGTCAAGACCCCAATGGTGTTTTTTGCAGAAATAGAAAAACCCATTCTAAAATTCATATGGCATCTCGGGGACACCAAAGAGCCACAGCAATCTTAAAAAAAAAAAAAAAGTTGTATGTCTCACACTTTGATTTTAAAATGTATTACAAAGCTACAGTAATAAAAATAGTGTGGTACTGCCATGAAGACAGATATGTAGAACAGTGGAATAGAATGAAGAGGTCAGAAATATTGTCATATGACTTTTGGCAAGGGTACCAAGACGATTCAATGGGGAAAGGAGAGTTTCTTCAACAAATGGTGTTGTGAAAATCAGATATCCACATCTGAAAGAATGAAGTTGGATCCTTACCTCATACAGTATTTAAAAAAAAAAAAAAACTTAAAATGAATCAAAGATCTAAACAAGCCTTTAAAAATCTCAAGTCATAGGGGAAATATTTCATTACATTGGATTTGGCAATGATTTCTTGGCTATGAAACCAAAAGCAAAAGGTATCAAAAGTAAAAGTATTAATAAACTGTACTAAATCAAAATTAAAAACTTCTGTGCATCAAAGGACATAATCAACAGAGTTAAATGGCAACCTGTGAAATGGAAAACAATATTTACAAATAATATATAAGAGAAGAGGTTAATGTCCAGAACACATAAAGAACTCCTACAACTCAGCAACAAAATAACAACAAAAAAAAACTGATTAAAAAATGACCAAAGGACTCTAATAGACATTTATCTGAAAAAGTTACACAAATAGGCCAGCAAGCATATGAAAAGATGCTCAACATCACTAATCAATAGAGTGATGCAATGATATATCACTTTACACTCATTACAATGGCTACTATTAAAAAAATCAGAAAATAACAAGTGTTGGTAAGAATATGGAGAAACTGAAATCCTTATATACTGTATAAACTGTTGGTGGAAACAAAAATGGTACAGTTGTATAAAAAACAGTATGGCAGTACCTAAAAACTTAAACCTGTAATTACCATATGATCTAGCAATTCTACTTATAGGTATATATTTAAAAGAATTGAAAGTCAGGTCCCAGAGAGATATTTATACACCCTTGTACATAGCAGCATTATTCACAATAGCCAGAGTTAAAAGCAACCTACATGTCCATCAATGGATGAATAAACAAATTGTGGTGTATATGTATACAATGGAATATTATTCAGCCTTAAAAAGGAAATTATGACACATGCTACATGGATGCACCTTGAGAATATGTGAAATAAGCCAGTCACAAAAATACAAATACTGCATTATTCCACTTACATGAGGTATCTGGAATAGTCAGATTCATAGAAAAAGAAAGTTCTTAAGTGGTTGCCAGGGGCTTACGGGAGGGGAAAATAGGGAGTTGTGTTTTAGGATATACAGTAACATTTTGCAAGACAGAAAAGTTTTGAATATTGGCTGTGCAACACTGTGAACACAATACCACTGAACTGTATACTTAAAAGTGGTTAAGATGGTAAATTTTATGTTAGGTGTATTTTACTACAATTACATTTTTTAAAAAAACATGAATAGTAGCAAAGATAGCGCATATTATTCTGTTCTCACACTGCAATAAAGAACTGCCTGAGACTGGGTACTTCATAAAGGAAAGAGATTTAATTGACTCACAGTTCCACATGGCTGGGGAGGCCTCAGGAAACTTACAATCATGGCAAAAGGGTAAGCAAACTCATCCTTCTTCACATGGAGGCAGGAAGGAGAAGAATGATAAAAGAAGGAAAAACCCTTTATAAGACCATCAGATCGCCTAAGAACTCACTCATTATCATGAGAACAGCATGAGGGTAACTGCCTCTATGATTCAGTTACCTCCCACATGTCCCTCCCATGACATGTGGGGATTACAGGAACCACAATTCAAGATGAGATTTGGGTAGGGACAAACCATATCACAGAGCTTAGCCCAAGAGTTTATTTGAGCCACATTTATTCTCAATTCCTTTAAAACCCTGTCTAACTCCCCCATTTACTCCAAAAGAACATGTCTAAGGAATCTCAACCCAAAGGAATCTTTCCCTTTTCAGTATTATATATGGCACCTAAGAATTCTGAATACTATCTATCTCAAATCCAGTACTCCCTATCAAAGTTTCTATTTCATCTTCAGGAAGTTTCATGCCCTAAGAGCAACCTTGCACTAATCTAAAGATTCCAAGAGACAATAATAATATTAAGACACTTGTTATTAAAACCTTTCCATTAAATGAGGAACCATTTGGTCATATTCAACTATTAACAAGATTTCCACTTCCCAACATTCTATTTTTCAGGGCATACCTCTAGTCCCATATTCTCCATGAAACTGCCTAACTACTTCCTTCCCTGCTACAAAATTGAATTGGTATTTTTAATGTTGGTACTGAAGACAAACAAAATTTCATGTTTTTTAGGTAACAAACTTTGCCTTGAAATCATTGTATCTCAACTATACAATAAGCATTTTGTGAAATGTATTACATACAGATACTGCTTGATTTATGAAGTCAGTTGTTAGCCAGTTTTCCCTTGCTCATTTGCCATGGAAAGTATTTGAATTCTCTGAGATCCCTCTTCAAATTGTACTTGCTTAATGAAGCCATTTCAATAAGGCAGTGAATTGGACTTCTAGGACATAACAATGAGAATTGAAAGAAGCTGCCGACCACATCACTTTAGTGTAAATCATTCATCCTCCCCTGAGTACATTTCACACTTGCAATTTCTCAGTCTTACCTTGATTGTTAGCTTGCATGGCTCAAATTATGTCTCTATGTGCATGTCTTCATCTGGAGCTGGATAACTAATATCAGATATCATACATTTACTTTTACTCATTGCAAAGATTTTCCCTGTACTCCTACTGCCCTGTACTTGTGTGCTTGTAGTATATTTAAATTGTATGGCAATACTAGATATGTGTAATGTGAAGAATGGGGGCTTATTACTCATTGCTCTGCAAGCAGCATGAGCATCATCATATTTCCACCAGTTTACTTTGTCCCCAAGTCCCACAGGCACAATGCAGATAGATGCCTATGCACACAGTTGGTGGCATTACAGGAAAGGAACTTTTAATTTAGGGATCCAAATCTTTTATAACAGCAGTATATGCCTGCCTTTTGCTCTGGAGAAAAACTAACTCTATTTTCCAAGGCTGTTCACTATATAAATATTCTTGAAAAGATAGTCCAGAACAAAGGACATTTACTGCCTCCCTCATAGTGTGTACAGAAATGCAGGAATTATCTTCCAACATAGCATACTATTAAGAAAGAAAAATGATGCCAATGCTAATTGTGCTGTGACAACAGATGTGAAATAGGAATTTTCTGGACAATTCAGGACGTAGGTTCACTAGTGGATACCTACCAGTCTCTGACACACCTTTTAATTCTGTAGTATCTACCATTTGAAGGAAAACTATAAAAGACACCAGCTCTTTAGGGACCAAGAAGTACATAAAGGTAACAGTGCCCAGTACAGCCATTTTCCAGTTATCACAACTGGCTTCTTAAACTTAAAGCCTCTAGTGTTAGGATCTTGAATGGATTTGATATGTTGTGACATTACTGTTATGTTATTTAGTGTAAGGGGTTTAGACTAGGACACCAGGCACCTAAGATTGAGTCAGATTTTCTATTAATTTTATTTCTGATCTTGGACATGTCACTTAACATTTAACCTCAATTCTTTAATTCTGTGTAATGTGTTACTAATGTCTTTATCTCAAGTGTGACTTGAACTAAACCATGGATCATGGTCTTGTAAACTGAGATGAAACTAGGTCACTGGATAACTTCCTTGGCCAAAGTATCTTTGGCTCCACTAATTCTGAGTTCTTGCCTCTTCTAGAAGATATTTCATATTTGTGCCACAGAATGCAATGAAGTGTTCTTTCTCTTAAACCTGTTACATTTTGGTCTAATTCTTGAAGAAATTTAATAGGAGCTAAGTGATTTATTTATCTTCTGTTTTCAGTTGGGTTTGCTTGTACCATAGGCCTCATATCACATACCAATCCCAGCTGCTATCCTGGAAAACTGTAGAGGAACTTTCTGAGATCATCTTCATATAGGTACAGGAGAAGAGACTGGTGGCACTTGTGCCAAATGATTTCATCTTTTTTTCTGAATTCTCGCTCCTTATTTGCCGTTATTTGATCCATTTCTTTCCATCTAATTACTTCAAAAAACAATTAAAAGAGGGAGAATCTCTTTAATTGCTTTTTCAATAAAGACCTAAGAAACACTTCACCTACAATGTCTACTATGTATTATCTCCTTTTTATCCATAATCTTCAGTTAGTTCAATTAATTCTTAGGTGTTTTCTTGCCTTTCATGTTTTAATTATTTTTTAATATTGGTTCTGAAGTCATTATAACAGGTTTTGTAAACTTTGGCAGTGAAAATGGGGTGGGGAGAGGCCTGCCAATATGCCTGATTTCTGATCTGCAACTTTGCAATGTTTCTATCCTTCTCATTTCATTTTCAGAAAATCCTTTTTTTTTCTTTTTCTTAAAATTGTCTTTTGCAAATTAGTCCTATAGGATTTCAGTTCAAAGAACTGGTCTAGGTCTAGGCTTCCAATTGTGGTATTTTTAAACGCAAACTCCAGGTTTCCTGTGTGGGTTCTTTGTTTTAAACTTTTTGTCAGTATCTTCTTAATTAATGTCCTTATTTTATAACAATTTCCTATTTATAATTTAATTTTTCATTTAATTTTCTTTGCTTCATAAAGAAAAGTGAATATTGTTTAGGAAGCAAAAAGAACAGAAGGGCTTATAGAGAAAATCAATAATTCTCTTTTCCATGCCTCCCCACCCACAGAGTCTTAATCCCCAGAGGCACCCTTTTAACTGCTTGCTTTTTGTTTTCCAGAGCCTTGCCTTCAAATACTTAATTAGCACATTTATTCCACTATTTATCTGTTGGCCTCCTGCTATGAGAGGATTTCATTCACACCACTCCCCACTTTCTCAAACCTTTCTCTCTAGTTTTATCACTATAGCTTTCCCTCTGAACACCTCTGCAATAACAACAACACTAGTTAAATTTTCATTTCTTGGTCTATAAATTATAGAGAATATATCTTGGTTTTATTCTTTTTAAGTCAACAGGACACTAAAGCCCCCACCCTTTCCTTCTCTCTTTCTTCCTTCTTCCATCTCTCATCTCTGTCCACACTTTTAATAATGGCCGGTTGATACTGTTTATAATTTGTCCTATAATCTTAGCACAGTCTTCCATGATCTATCAGCTGATTCTAAATTAATTTACTATGCCATGTTAATAACGAGTTAGGTAATAAGCTGTGACTCCATTTCTTCCTCCAGTGGCATGTTCTTCACTTAAAGTAGAATGGACTTAGAATTAGTTCAACTGGGTTCTTTTTTTTCTTTACAGTTTACCAATTTCCTTTAGCATATTCTCAAATATTTCTAGATTCACAATAATATTATGTGTCATTTTGTTTTCCCTTTCTTTCCCTTTCAAAGATCTTCCTTTTGGAGTCTTAATTCTCTTTCCATATGTGGATTAGTTGCTTTCCAGGCTAATACACACTTTCCCTCACTGCACTCTGGTTTGGATCTTCTGTTTCCTGCATCCTATGGCTTTATTCTTTATTTGCTATTTTTCTGGAGTATATCCTCAAGAAACTTTCTATGAAGAGGTACCTAGGCATTTTGATGAATCTGAATATGTTTTCATTCTACCATCACATATGCTGTATTGGCTATTTTCTGTGAGTACAATGTGTTGTTGGTAAGAAGTCTAATTTCACTACGTTGTAGCCAACTTTTGTTTAAACCTCTCCATGGCCCATTTTTGGGGACATTCTTCTCATTTTTTGTGTTTTGAAATTTCATAAAAATTGGTTTAGGTATCTCTTTAACAGAGTCATTATGGTTAGTACTGTCTGAAAATTTGTATTTCAGTCTGAACATTTGTGTACTTTTTCAATTCTGGGAAATTTTCTTCTGATTTCTTCTCTTCCACAAATTTGCTGGATCCTAGTCTTTTTCTTTCCCCTAAATTTAGGGCTCAGTTCTGCCTCTATATTCCTTTTTCTTTGCAGCCTCTCCCTAGATAATTTCATCACCTCCTATGGCCTAAAATTTATCCATAATTTGATAACTCCTGAATTTATATTTCCAGCCTGCTCTCCTTCCAGATCTATAGATTCTAAAGACCTATAGATCCAGTTGCCTATTTGACCTACGTACTTGGATGTCTAATATATGTCTCAAACTTGCAAGGCCCAACTAGAACTCTTAATTTTTTTTACCCTTAATACCCTTGTAATTATTCATTTTGTCACAAGTCAGTAACATCATCCACTTAATTGCCAACAAAAGAATATAGAAGTTATCTGTAATTTCTATTGCTCCCTAACACCAAATAGCAGATTCAGCAGCAAAAGCAAAATGTATTCTTAATCTAACCACTTCTCACCAATTCATCTCATCAATACCAAAATTATCTTTTCCAAATACCAGTATCCCAAAAGTTTATAACCTGATGTGTAAGTATACATATTCTAGAGTCCAACTGACTGGCTTAGTTTCAAATTCCAGCTTTACCACTAAATACCTGTGTGACCTTGAGCATTGTCCCTAATAAGCCTGTATCTTAGTTTTCTCAGTTATAAAATGCAGATAAATGATTCCTTATGGGGCTGCTGTGTAGAGCACACAACACATCCTTAATAAGTGCTCTTTGTCAAGATTACTGTAATTACTATAATAACTTCCAATCTAATTTTCTTAACTACCCTCTTTTTGCCCCCATCCCCCAGCTGCCAGGATAGTCTCTCTCTCTCCTTTTACTTTAAAATCATAATGGAATGTAACACACATACACAAGGTGTAACATGTGTGCACAACTCAATAATTTTCAGGAAACAAAGATCTATGAACTCACAACCAGGTAATGAAATAAAATTTTGCTAGCCCCCCAGATGAATCCTTTATACCGTTGCTCAATCAACACTTCCTCTCTTGTTCCCAAAAGTAACAATTACCCTTTTCTGCAACACTATAAATGTGTTGTGTACCTTTAAGACTTTATGCAAGCCAAACTACACATTATGTATTCTTTGATATCTGGGCTCTTTTGCTTATTGTCACGCTCGTGACAATCATTCATGTTGTGTTCAGCAGAAGTTCACTTATTGCAATGGCACTTCATGATACGAGTGTTAAAAATTGTTTATTTAATATACTGTTGATGGGCACATGGGTTGTTTCCAAGCTTTAGCTATCACAGATAAGGCTACGACAAAAAATGTAGTGCATGGCTGTTGGTACCAAGCCGCATGCATTGCTATTGGGTCTATAAGGGTTGAATTTGGGGGGTCATAGATTGAGAGTATGTTCAGTTTTAGTAGAAAATACTAAACAGTTTTTCCAAGTGACTGCATCAATTTTTACTCCTGCCAGAAGTTTATGAGAGTTCTAGTTACTCTAAAACCTTACCAACACTTGTAATTAGTGTAATATTTTTTAACTTTTGAGATTTTTCTGGGTATGTAGTGATATCTCATTGTGGATTTGTGTCATAGTGACTAATACATTTAGGAACCTTCCCAAATATTTATTAGCCATATGGATATACTTTTTAGTGCCCAAAGACAGGAACTAGTCAAATATAGATAAGTCAAGCAACTGGAGGCAAGGAGAGGATGAACAGAGGCTAGATTCCAAGAGGGAATTTGAAACCTTGAAGGTAGTCCACTATGAAAGAAGTCTGGCTCAAGTAACCAGATTCAACAAAATAGTCAAAGTCATGGTTTTTGAGGTTTGAAAGCCTTCCAGACCCCGTTCTCTTGCCTGAATGTGAAAACAGCAGGAGAAAAGGCCTGTATTCATGAACTAGAAGAGCTTTCTCATTAAACTCCTAAGCATGGCTTCTGTGGAAGGAACCCTTACACCATGGAGCGCACACAATGGGTAGAAGAGTGACACTACAACCTGGTATCTGTCAGTTCTGTTGAGATTTATACCCCAATGGTAAAATATCGGCTCTGAGAAAACTCAGTCAAGGAGGGATGAGGGCAGCATTTCTAGTTTTCAGTGAAGATAGAATTTTTGGTTATGGGGAATTACTACAGTATGAACTTTTTAGTTTGTCAGAGATGAGGTAAGTATTGTTATCTCACGCAGTGCTACTGAAGACAGCCACTATAGGAAAGAAAAGAGAGAGGGAGATCAATCCTTCCAGCAGGTGTTGAGTTATGTTCCTGAGACTCTGTGATGAAAATTCATGTGAAATTGATTTATTTGGAAGTATTCGCAGGAAAATCTGGGGAGAGTGGGAAAGTGAACCAGAGAAGAACACAAAACTAAACAGGGATACACTATCAAGTAAGCCCCATGAATGGGAATTTTAGCTCAGTCACACAAGGAAGTTGGAGACAGTGTTGGTTGTCCCTCAGAGTCACTCCCACTAGAGACATGGGAGCTGGGGTACTTATGCCCCTGCACTGTCAGCCATTGGTTAAGGATTGTTTCAGGGAAACAAACATTCCAAGATCCTTCCTGTTTTATGGAAAACCAAAGCAGACTCAGGAGTGGAACAGTCCCTAACCACAGATACTGGTGGTGGCTGTTTGGAGTGGAAGAGCACAAAATAATCAAGGAATCCAAGGTAATATGGTAGCTTTGATATTGCTTGCTGTAAGTGGCTTCCTAGTGCCAAAGAGAATACAAAAAAATACCCCAAACTCTCTTGTAAGGGCCTCCATACCAAACATGATTGTCCATTTTTGCCTCTGCCACCTCTTCTACCATCGCTCTTCTCCCACATTCTCTCACTACAGACCTGTCTTGCAATCCCTCCTCTTCCTTCAGAGAAAGAAGTTTTCACCTCAAAGACTTTAGACTGTTTTTCTCCATACAAAAGTATACAAATGATATTTTGGATCATCAAGTACTCAGAAACGATTTAAGAATTGGTTTCCAGGGGAAAATTACTCAGGGAACACCTCCAGCCAAAATACAAATAAACCAGAAAAACAGAAATGAACATCCAGAATAGGAGAGATACAACCATCAGAAAACAGTGGTAAGAAAACTAGTAACCTAAAATTCCAAATGATTTAAGCAAAACCTGAAATTTAAGAATAGGGTTAGGTTGTGTAAGAAAAAAGCAGGGGGAAATGAAGTAAAACAAAGCTAAAGGTTTCATCTTCTTTGGAGAGAATTGTGTAGAAACTGTAAAATTATCTATGTATTAAAATGGTTTTTCAAAATAAATGTAGAAGGATAGAAAAAGATATAAAACTTCCAAACAACTAGAGAGAAAAAGGAAAAAAAAGAAAAACAAATTATTTCACCTAGAATAAAAAACTGAAGAATAAGAAAAAAAAATTTTAAAGCTATCAAATTCCATACAAATTATATATTTAAATGCAAAAATAAAATAAAAGTACGTTATAAACCATTAGGCTGGGAAAAAGCAACACGTCATCCATACCAGAAATTGTAATAGAAATGATTAATAGGTTTAACAGCATTAAAAAAGTAAAATAAAACTCCAAAGCTTGAAAAACACAATGTATGACAGAAAAAGTCAGTAGAAAAACAACATAAATGGTAGAAAAAATGGGCTTCAATATATAAAACTTCCTACACATTAACAAGGAACATATAAAAAAGAAAACATGGTTAAAAAACATAAGTAGGTAATCCACCAAAACATAAAAGCATTTGGCCAATTCAAATATGAAAAAATACCTAGCTTCACTAAATAACCAAATGAATGTAAGTTAAAATTAAGAGCTATCATCTTTTACCTATCATATTAGCACAGATTTCAAAATAGTAACAGTATATGTGAAAACAATGAGGAGCAGGTCCTATTATTGATGGGAGTATAAATTGGTGCAATATTTTATAAAGCAATTTGGAATGTGCATCAAAATTTAAAATGTATTATGCTGCTCAACCCAGAAATTCTCCTTCAAGGAATTTATCCTTAGGAGTACTAATGAAAGTTCACCAAGATATCTACACAAGAATGTTTATGTAGAATTATGCACAATAAAAAATGAAAAAAATAACAACTTAAAAATGTTTCATTAAGCTTGTTAAATGAAGTACTTTATAGGTTCTGGATATTAGATCTTTGTCAGATGCACAGATTGCAAATATTTTTTCCATTCTGTAGCTTGTCTGTTTACTCTGATGATAGCTTCTTTTGTTGCGCAGGAGCTCTTTCATTTCATTAGGTCCCACTTGTCAATTTCTGTTTTTGTCGCAATTGCTTTTGAGGACTTAGTCATAAAATCTTTCCCGAGCCTGATGTCTGGTGTTTCCTAGGTTTTCTTCTAGGAATCTTATAGTTTGAGGTCTTACATTTAAATCTTTCATCCATCTTGAGTTAATTTTTTATATGGAGGAAGGTAAGTGTTCAGTTCCATTGTTCTGCATATAGGTAGCCAGCTATCCTAGCACCATTTATGACCCCTTTAAAAAGTGGGCAAAAAACATAAACAGAAAATTCTCAAAAGAAGATATACAAGCAGCCAACAAAATGAAAAAATGCTCAACATCACTAATCATCAGAGAAATACAAATCAAAACCACAATGAGATATTATATCACACAAGTCAGAATAGCTACTATTAAAAAATCAAAAAACAACAGATGTTGGTGAAGCTGCAGAGAAAAGGGAACTCATACCCTGTTGTGTAGTAATGTAAATTAGTTCAGCCACTGTGGAAAACAGTTTGAAGATTTCTCAAGGAACCTATAAGAGAGCTATTTTTTGACCCAGTGACTGGGTATGTATCCAGAAGAAAATAAATTGTATTACCAAAAAGACATATTCATGCATATGTTCCTCGCAGCGTTATTCACAATAGCAAAGACATGGAATCAACCTAGGTGCCCATCAATAAATGAATTGGATAAAGTAAATGTGGTACCTATACACCACAGATTACCATGCAGCCATAAAAAAGAATGAAATCATGTCTTTCGCAGCACCACAGATATAGTTGGAGGCCATTACTCTAAGCAAATTAATGCAGAAACAGAAAACCAAAACCAAACATTCTCGCTTATAAGTGGGAACTAAATACTGGGTACTCATAGAAATAAAGACGGCAACAATAGACACGAGGGACGACTAGAGGGCAGAAGGGCAAGGGTTGAAAAGCAACTATTGGTTATTCTGCTCACTACTTGAGTAAGAGGATCATTCATATCCCAAATCTTAGCATCATACAATTAACTCACATAACACTGCACATGTGCCCCCGAATCTAAACAAAAGTTGAAATTATTTTTTAAAAAGCATAGTAATACAATTATGTGTGGTATGTAGTATTTGATGACAGTAATAATTGGCTAAGTTACTTCAAAAAAAACTATATTTTTAAATATATTCCATTAAGAATTATTTAAAATTATGGTATAGTCATAAAATAAAATAACCTATAATCACCAAGAAGAATGAGATAAATCTCTATATACCAGCATGGGAAGATGTCAGTGACATACTAAGTTATAAAAGCAAATTACTGGTGTGAGATGATATCTCATAGTGGTTTTGATTTGCATTTCTCTGATGGCCAGTGATGATGAGCATTTTTTCATGTGTTTTTTGGCTGCATAAGTGTCTTCTTTTGAGAAGTGTCTGTTCATGTCCTTCGCCCATTGGAAACCATCATTCTCAGTAAACTATCGCAAGAACAAAAAACCAAACACCGCATATTCTCACTCATAGGTGGGAATTGAACAATGAGATCGCATGGACACAGGAAGGGGAATATCACACTCTGGGGACTGTGGTGGGGAGGGGGGAGGGGGGAGGGATAGCATTGGGAGATATACCTAATGCTAGATGACGAGTTAGTGGGTGCAGCGCACCAGCATGGCACATGTATACATATGTAACTAACCTGCACAATGTGCACATGTACCCTAAAACTTAAATTAAAAAAAAAAAAAGAAAAAGAAAAAAAAAAAAGCAAATTACTGAAACATACTACATGTTTAAACTTCAAATACATGAGGCTAAGTTTTAAAAGACAGCTATGAAAAACCACACATTGTATGATTCTATTTCTATGAAATGTCCAGAAAAAGCAAATCTTGAGAGACAGAAACAGATCAATGGTTGCTTGGGGCTGGGATGGAAACAGGGCTTGCCTGCAAATGGCCATGAGGGACCTCTCTGAGGTGATGAGAATGTTTTAAAGCTGGATTGTAGTGATGGTGAAACAGTTAACTCTGTCAATTTACTAAAAATTATTGAATTTACTTTGTGAATTTCATGGTATATAAATTATACCTCAATAAAGCCATTTTGTAAGAAAAGCAATATACTGATCAGTATAGTAATAGCACGTGGATATGCAGCTATATTTACATCCACAAAGAAAACTCTGCCCTGGGGTATTTCTATATTGTTTGAGTATTTTCAATAATAAATATTACTTTTACATTCAAAAATGTATGAAAAGAAATACCAACAGTATCTTTCAAAGCTCTTAGATCAGGGCCCTTCATCTCAGCACCCAGAAAAGCAAAACTTGATCTCATGTATTATCTGCCAGAGATGGCAGTTTGATATATTTTGCAACAGTAGAGTGGATAAAGACGACCAAGCCATTTGTAATGGCGACATCACAGAATGGGATGTAACAAAGGTAATCAGTCACTAACACTTAGTGGACACTACTGTAAGTACTTCAAACAAATTCAACTATTTAATTCATGTTGCAGTCCCAATGTTGCGGTCCAACCTCTATGCACTCGGCAAAAGCCACAGAATTGGAGAATGTAGATCAGGAATTTAAGCCCAAGATGTCACACTTCAGTGTCTGGGCTCTAAAAACTACATCAGATTGCCCATACCCAGGGGGGGCTGTATTTCATAACCAATTCTCTGATTAGACATGTTCACTTCAGTAGAATATTTCCTACATTATGATTCTGGTAGCAAGCTTTTAAATACATATTCATATTTTTTCACTATTTCCAAATTGCCAGTTTAAGTCCATGGAATTCTTAAAATCAGGAACTCACAGTTTTCGTTTACACAATGCTGAATAGCTACTATGGGAAATGGCACAGAGTTGCGGCTTAGAAAATATTTGCTGAAGGCAGGCGCAGTGGCTTGTGCCTGTAATCCCAGCACTTTGGGAGGCCGAGGCAGGCAGATCACGAGGTCAGGAGATTGAGACCAACCGGGCCAACATGGTGAAACCCTGTCTCTACTAAAATACAAAAAAATTAGCCAGGCGTGGTGGTGCGCACCTGTAGTCCCAGCTACTCGGGAGGCTGAGGCAGGGGAATTGCTTGAACCCGGGAAGCGGAGGTTGCAGTGAGCCAAGACCACGCCACTGCACTCCAGCCTGGTGACAGAGCAAGACTGTGTCAAAAAAAAAGAAAAGAAAAGAAAAGAAAATATTTGCTGAATTATATGAGATACATTTAAACAATATTTCTCTCTACAAATTCAAATAGTCTGATAGTTTTGGAAACAACCTCTAAAAACAGAAAGACATAATGAATAGGCCAAATCCCTTCCCATTTATTTCAAGTTTAAGACATCAGAAAGCCTGATTCAATAGGGATTGCCTATAGAAAAAACACAGAAGCACATCACATTTCAATTATTTCTACATCTTCGGTGTCAAGCAATTAATAAACCAAGCTCTTAGAGACACTGATCATATATCAAATAAACATGATGTGCTCTCCTACATCTCCCACAGAAACAGGTAATGCAATAGGTTAGCACTGAAATAGGATATTAAAACCCATTTATATTCTCACATCATTAGATGAGGAAAATAAATCTGGACACTAATGCTTGGCTGATATCCTTAAAATGATGCTGATTCTGCTAAGTCCTATATTTCCTCAGAGACTACAAATGTTCACATGACAAAAAAAAAGAGCTTCAGAGACTCAAAGATTTCAGTGGTCTTAAAATTCAAAAATAATGGCCACTTTTTTATTAAGTCACCCATAAATCCCAAATAAATGCAAACCCCAGTGTATGCTACTGTAGAGGACTTCTACCTTTGTGTTCTGTTATTGATATTTTCCGTCTATATTTTTTTCTATCAACCTGAGATAAAAATAACTTATCTGAATCAGCTGGGTTCACAACTCAATCTAAAAAGCTCCATTTAAATATAGCTTCATTTATTAATTTTGAAATTAAGTTATATTAGCTCTTGCCATGTCAATGTTAAAGTCCTCAAATATACATGAAAAATCATTCTTCTACAGTGTTTAAAAATTAATAATGGTGAGAGTCCAATTTTAAACTACCCACATCATAGAATTACTCAGTAAATTGCATGGATTTCTAAGTTCAGGCATCATTAGTACTTTTAGACCCCCTTTGAACTTATAACCAACACTTATATTCTGTCAATATCATCATATTAAAACTCTTTGCATTATAAAGCTAATTTTATAAATCAATTTCTCATTGCTAGGCAGACTCTAGACTGGATAACATTTTTCTGTTAAGCCATTGAGATAAGGAGTTTCTTCTGGCTGAATTTTTATTGAGAAACTTAGTTTTGTTTGAAATGTCCATTTCAATCTTTGGAATAGTGATGTAAGCTCCTGTATTGTGTGTTTTGAGTTTAATTTTTCTACTGTGCTTCCAATTTTAATTTTTATGAGAATCGTTTTAGGTCATCTTCTGTTAGACGATTTAGCAACAGTTAGCATATGTCTAACATGTACATCAGTCTATATACCTATTGACTTGCAGGGAAGTGTCAAGAAAGTAAGCTTTGTTGTGCAAATAGTGTGAGTTCTCATGGAGTTTACATAAGTCACCTTACAGATGAACAAATTACACTATATAATAAAGGCAGGCTCTATAATTTTGACCTTCTCTTCCTAACAGGAAAAAAAGTTCTATTTTATTTTGCATCTCTGGTATCTAGCACAATTCTCTAGCACACATTAAGTACTTAACCAGAAGGAAGAAAGGAAGGAAAGAAGGGAGGGAGGGAGAGAGGGAGGGAGGGAGGGAGAGAGGGAGGGAGGAGGGAGAGAGGGAGGGAGGAAGGAGGGAGGGAGGAAGGAGGGAGGGAGGGAGGAAGGAGGGAGGGAGGAAAGAAGGAGGGAGGGAGGAAAGGAGGAGGGAGGGACGGAGGGAGGGAGGGAGGAAGGAGGGAGGAAGGAGGGAGGAGGGAGGGAGGGAGGAAGGAGGGAGGGAGGGAGGAAGAAGGGAGGGAGGGAGGAAGGAGGGAGGAGGGAGGGAGGAAGAAGGGAGGGCAGAAGGAAGGAGGGAGGAAAGGAGGGAGGGAGGGAAGGAGGGAGGAGGGAGGGAGGGAAGGAGGGAAGGAGGGAGGGAGAGGCGCTTTCAAGTCTGTAAATGCTGTGCACATATAAGAGCATAATGTTATCATTATTGTTTTAATCAGTACCCAGGAAAGTGGCTGATCTCTTTATTAAAGGATTAGTTGTTCTTAGAGCATGTCCTCCTTATGCTCACATCTCTTGCTTTCTTGGTAGGACTGTTCCCTTGTTAAGGCTTGACAATTCCTAAACCAAAACAAATCCATCTTCTTAAGTACAAAGAACAATTGTTGCTAACCTAGGCCTGGTTGACAAGAGAATATATAGCTTCTCCATTTGACAAAAAAAAAATGTAGTCTGTGTTTTCTTTCAAATTTCACACTAACTCAGACTTGCAGATTCCCCTAAAGAAAGGATGAATAGGCCAATAGGCCATCCAGATCAATGTCACAAAGCAAAAACTACTCAAACTAAACACCGCTGCTTTGTTTTCATACAGATTTATATTGTTTTTTTATCCTCTCACAGTGCCCTTTTCTGAAGCTAGAAAGTATCTTTAAATTACATTTTAAAAACAAGACTGCTCTGTGAAAATCTGTCAAGATGTGTTTTTTTTTTACTAGTTATGATTGTCTAGTTTTATTAAAAATAACAAAACAGTAACATTGCTGACACGTACAAAGAAGTTCTATTCAATGACTTGCAAGTGAAGCATACAACCTGATAAAATGTGTATATGTGTGGGTGAAAGAGAGACAAAGAGACAAAGGGAGAGACAGAGGGAGACACAAGAAGGAGAGACAGAGGAAGAGGGCATGCGCATACTTGTGAATATGATGAATGTGTGACAATGTGTGATATATCCCACCTTGGACAGAGCACATCAGAAATATCAGATTTAATTCTAGTTATATTTTGAGAGGAATAGTGAAAACTGGGATATGTACAGAGAAGAGTGTGATAAATCTGACTGTTGCTATATGAGAACATTTGAGCAAAATAGGCTTATTAAAACTACATCCCAGAGAATCCACGAATAAAAGACACATGGCTATTTTCTTTAAATATTTGAAGTTCTCACCTATTGAAGATGCAGGAAGCACATTTTGCATGCCTCTTGATGACATAGCTAGGACCAATGCACTCAACATAAAAATCCAAATACCACGTGGGATATTCAGTTCCCAGCCACTTAGGGAAGAAATTCAAGAGTTTGGTTTAGGAAATGTAATATTGAGATACCGTGTAGACATCCAAGTGGAGATATCAATGAGATATTTGATGTTCTGAAAAGAAGACAGAGCCTTTTGTATAATTCTGAAGGATATTTGAAATCTTAGGTTTACATGAAATCACCCGGAAAATAAATTTAATTAAGAAAAGAAGTCCATGGACTAAGCCCTGGGTTATTCTAACATGTCCAGAAGATAACCCAGAAAAAGTGATTAGAAGTGTCTTAATTTGGGTTCCCAAGCAGTAGACCCTGAGGCAAGAATTTGAGTACAAATAGTTTATTTTGGAGGTGGCTCCTGGAAACCCTGGTAGGAGAGTCTGAACTAGAGACAGGAAAGGGAAAACAGCCAATCAAGGGTACAACCAGAGCTGAATTTCACTGGGGAACTCTCCAAACCATTGCACAATGCATGCTTCGAAGTGATCCTTCCAAAGAGAAAGGAAACCAATTGCCATCAGTCTTTAGTTGGAACCTGCTCCCAGGAGACACTACTTCTTTGGTACTTAGAGATTCTCATTTTTCTAGATAAAGTGTGCTTGAATGGCCAGAAGAAGCTCAAAGGTGCATAGCTGAAAATTGGCTTGAACACGCTGAACTGATGATGCCTGAAGAAGTATGGGCAGGGCAGTAGCCTTTTTCACAAGGTGGAATGGTCAAAAAAGATGGGATAAAAGAACAGAAAAAATAACTTCCTGGAAGCCCAGTGAATTACAGGTTATTAATGCAAAATAGATGCCTGCCTTATGCTTGATATTAGGGATGTGCCCTCTACTTGTCCTTTCAGCCAACGATATTCTGTTATATTAATAAGCAGAATTTAAAAAAAAAAAAAAAAAAAAAACCACTGGTATCAAGTCCTGAAAGTAACATTCTCCTTCCACTTTTAAAGCAAGTTTTGTGTAATAGGAGACAGGTGGCTTATAAAGATAAATTGAGCAATATGATAATTAAAGGAGTGGTGCCGAGTGCATGAGCATTTATAACCTTGTGGCAAACAGAAAACCTCATTTTTGGAGGACACCATGGTGGATATAGTGTTTGTATAAAAGACAGTAGCTGAGCAATCATCAATAATGCTTATAATTAAGTACATTATACATTTTATAAAATCAAGGGAATATGCTTATTGGTTTCTGTATCCAGCTTAGATTTCATAAAAACTTAATGACTTCCGAAATAAAACTCCCCAATTTGAAAGGTCCAAAGTCCCATAAATTATGTTCTCTTACTCATTTTACATATTTCTTTTAAAAATATTTTCTTCATTGTATGAAAAATAATTGTTTCTTTTTTAATTCTTAAGTGTGTGCAAGAGAACCAGAGGAAAACATTTATCTGTAGGAAAATAAGTAAATGAGATTTGTTCTTTTGTTCACCTTATGTAAAAAGGTAACCTTTTGTGACTTTTCAATCAGGACACAGCAGATACCAAAGAAATTTGCTGCGCAATTTATGGCCTTTAGCATAACTAGCAGCAAACATATCCTAAAGCACTCTTTCTTAGGCAAATCTTAAAAACATATTCAGCATCTGAGCACCACCATTCTGTGCGTAAAGGATACTACTTTGAAATAACTCTA
This sequence comes from Homo sapiens, assembly GCF_000001405.40. Classification (NCBI taxonomy): domain Eukaryota; kingdom Metazoa; phylum Chordata; class Mammalia; order Primates; family Hominidae; genus Homo; species Homo sapiens. The sequence continues at coordinate 53,864,342 of NC_000018.10, forward strand.
CTGAAACTTGAATTTGCACATTTATTTTGAAGATATTTATCAAGAAAAATAATCATAGCTGATGTTTTGTGGGCTGGACAGTGTTTCCTTGGTTGTTTGCCTTTAAGAACCATTTAAAGGACCAAGGGAAGAAGGAAAATTGAAAAGTAAATTAAATGTCACAAGTGAAGAGCTGTCACCTTAGATTTAATAATGTCATCACGGAAAGTTAAATACCAGGTAATTATGAATATGAAGACGTACAAGAAATCTACTGAATAATTACAGAAACATAACCAGGATTCTCAGAGCTGAGAAGAAATTTGACTTCACCCGAAGAAGTTTCTTATTCATGAAAAAGTCTTGATTTACTGATTTTTAAAAATAATTTCAACTTTTATTTTAAATTCAAGGGGCACATGTGTACCTGCAGAGCTACCTAAAGGACTAGGACTATATACACAGCTTGCCCTTACCAGTCCAACAAATCTAGGTAATGAGAAGTTCCTGGAGTCATAAGGATGGGATTTGGCTCAATTTTACTCAAATGCAATCTATTTTATTTTTTTCCTATGCTTTTAGTACTTTACAGTGGATGTGGCCCACTGTCAATGGTGTATATGACTAGATACCTTGCAGACTGGTTCCCTCTGCAGGCAAACACGTTGTGATTATCTCACGTTGCACAGGGATAATAATTGTCACAGTGTTCGCAGGGATCATTCAAAAATGCACAGCACAGAGACTCATTATTCAACTTCACTCTTCCATACCTATTATGATATACATCATCGGAATGATGACTTTCAGGACGATATTTCAACAGCACATGTCTTTCTCTTGATGTATTGGGTTTCATACCATCGCTTTTAAAGCAACACAGAATTCCTGGTAAGTGCAAACTCATAAATAATATTACAATTAAAAATAAAAGATTACTTAGAAGGTAGCAGCATATTTAGGTGTGACTTTCAAATGATAGATGTGGGGCATTTTTCAAATCTCAGAAAGATCTATTATGTGGACTGTGAGGGAACTGGGGAGATGATGGTTTTTCATACTTTCTATACTTTTTTAATCCTTTCATAGATAAATACACAGAGACAAACTTACACTCAGATTTTAGGAGCATTAAGAACATACATGGATATTTATATTTTGATATGATAAATACGTTTCTCAGGTTGTTAACCTTCCCAAAGTGTCTTTGTTTTTATTGTCAGTTCCCACTCCTCTATCTTCCTCATTTTTCTCCTAATTAGTCATCTGGACAAGAATAAATGGAAGTGTAAGGAATAGGGCAGGAGGAAGTGCGGAACAGCAGTTCTCTCTCAAGTCAATTCTAATGACCACTATTCCAAACTCTACTGAAGATGCCAAGCTAATACAGGATGACAATTCAAAAACTACAGGTACTTCATACAAATGTTCCAGGGACTAACAGACCAGGGACCACCTAACTCACAGAAACCAACGTGGTCCCAAGCAGTAACTAGTTCTTTTTTTCTAATTATTTAACAGATATGTTTTACAATATGTTTATTACAAAGATAGTCCATTTATGTAATTTTTAAAAAGCACAACGTTTAAAAGAGTAGACAGTAAAAACTGAAGCTTCATCTCATCTTAAATCTCCAATTCCACTCCTCAGATGCAGCTATATTTAACACTTTCCTGTGTATTTGCTAGATTGGTACTGCCTAAAGTGAAATGTCATCCAAGCCATATATGTAATTTAAAGTGTTTTAGTAGCAGTATTTTAAAATTGAAAGAAACAGGTGAAATTTCCATTACTTTATTTAACCCAGTATATTCAAAATGTCATCATTTCAACTTGTAATCAAAATAATAACTTATTAATAAGGTATTTTACTTTCCTTTAATACTAAGCCTTGCAAATCCAGTGGGTTCTTTGTTCTATAGCATACCTCAGTTCAGACTAGCCACATTTCAAGGACTTAATAGTCACATGTGGTTATTGGCTACTATATTACATAATACAGTTCTAGATATAATGTGCTTGATTTTTTACACGTATGGGAATAAACTTTACACATTGTTCTGTGCTCTGCTTTAACAAGGTATTATAAAAATTTCAATATTAGCAAATGAAGATATGACTCATTGTTTCTTAACAACTGCATTTTGTATACTGTCTTTTGCTATGATTATTCCTTAAAATACATTATTTGTCACATGTGTGAGAGTACAGATTTATGTGAATTTCTTGGCCTAAGAGTACATGCATTTTAAATTTTTATATTTGATACTAAATTGCCTTCCAAAGTGGTTGGAAAGATTTATGTTCTACCCTGTATTTTCAAACTTTTAAATCCCAGCCAATTGGATAATGTAAAATATGATATTTTGTATCTCCCTGATGTCTAATTATTTTTAATTGATTTATAAGTACTTTCTTTAATATTAACAAAATTTGCCTTTTCTCTGTCAAATGTGTTATAACATTTCCTCTAGTTTGTGGTAGGGCTTTTGACATTGTGTACAGTATTATTTTGTTGAACAGGAGGTTTAAATTTTTATTTAGTCACATTTATCAACCTTTCCTCTATCATTTCTGTATTTCTTACCCACTCTATGGAAAAAATAACTGTTTTCTTATACCACTGTTTTTGTTCTACTTTTATTATTATCTTTGGGATATTTAATTATTATCTTTTGAATACTTAGTTATTATCTTTGGACTTCAGAGCCAGATAATTAAATTAACCATAATTTTTCCTTCATGATATACTTTCACTCCCATGTATGGATGACTTATATTTAGGTATTTAGTTTCAGTAATGTCGAAATCATCAAAACCCAAAAGTTAAAACATTCACAACAAATAACAATTTACCATATGATTCCTCGTATCCTATGCTCCTTACTCCCCAACACCATCAGAAATAATTATTATCCTGAATTCTGGGTTCATCACCTCTTTGCCTAAAATTTCCTTTAAAAATTATTTGTTGTAATATTTGCTGCATTTATTTTGACTAACAAGTAAAAATTGCATATATCTATGCTGTACATCATGCTGCTTTGTTATAGGTATACAGTGTAGAATGATTAAATTAGTAATGAACATATCCCTCACCCCATCTACTTATCTTTTGTATATATGTGAAGATACTAAAACTTATTCTCTTAGCAATTTTCAAGTATACAGCATATGATTACAAACAGTAGTCATCATTATATACAGTAGAGCTTTGGAATTTATTCCTCTTGCCTAACTGAAATTTTGTATCCTTTCTGTTCTGTGGGCTTGACAGTGTTTCCTATTAAACATTGAAATGTGGATGGTCCAAATCAGATTGTGCTATAGGTGAAACTACACACTAGATTTCAAAGACTTAGTATGAGAAAAAGAATGTAAAACATCTCCTTAATAATACTTTATGTTGATTACAGGTTGAAATGTTAATTTTTAGACAAATCAGGTCAAAAAATTATTAAAATTAATTTTACCTGTTCCTTTAATATATATACATATCCTTTTTAGAGAGGGGGAAAAAAAACGCGACAGCCTTACCTAGGCTGGAGTGCAGTGGCATGATCACAGCTCTTTGCAGTCTCAAAGTCCTGGGCTAAAACCATCCTTCCACCTCAGCTTCCAAGTAGCTGGGACTACAGGTACATACTGCCATACTCGGCTAATCTTTTTAAATTTTTTGTAGAAATGGGGTCTCGCCATGTTGCCCAGGCTGGCCTTGAACTCCTGGCCTGAAGCAATCCACCCAAAGATCCTCACTGGCCTCCTCAGCCTCTTAAAACACTGTGATTATAGGTGTGAACCACCATGCCCAGCCCTCTAATTTTTTAATGTGACTACTAGAAAATTTAAAATTACATATAGTCTTATGAGATATTTTTATTGGACAACACTGCTCTGCAGGATTCTTGGCGTAGATGGAGCTACGCAGTTAGTGTAAACCAAGAAGAAACAGAATTATGGAGATATAATTGCTGATGTGGTCTACACAACCAGGCAAAAGCTAAAGGGTAAAACTGGCTGCTAGTGCTACTTTTAGTGTGATCCACAGGATGACATGAGCCTACAGACTGCCACTGGTCCCTTAAAAGCAACTAAATTGAAGGTACATCTTCAGAAACTTTTATAAAATTTGACAGTAATTCTACATCTGTTGCATCTAATATCTTTTTTTAAGGTGGGTTTGTATTTTGCATATCCTTGTGTCCTTTTACTTCATTTCTATTAATTTACTTTTATATTTTATAAAATTATCAGTTTGCAATATTGGAAATAAGATCTTTACCACAGACTGAAAAGCATTGGGATATACAATTTTGGTGACGCAAACGTTTAGTTTTGATATTCATGGGAACAGATTTGTGAATTTCAAATATACTTAGTGAAAGCCAGTATTTAATGGAGAAAAAAATGTATTCAAATTTCATACACCTACCTCAAGGGTTGATCTATCTAAATATCTTTAAATGCATAGACATGTTAATTATAAAGGAAACTAACCTCTTATCTCTATAGAAATGTTTCATTTTCTGCAAAATATAGAAATTAGAAAAATGTATATCTGGCCAGCTTGAAAATTACATAATTTGGAAAAATTCAAGTTTATTTGAGGAGCTTGGTAGAAGTCTTCATGACAACCTGGCCTCTCACTACCCTGAATCTGTGTAAATTGGCCATATGACATATTTCAACCTGGAAATGCGAGGGCAAAAACAATAGTAAATCCTATTTCATAATAATCAGAAGAAAAGACATGGAAGTTAAGTGCAACCCAGTCTGGCAGTTCATTAGCAAATAACTGCCACTATGCCAAAGTACGAAAACAAAACAAAATTAATCCTGCTTAGAAGAGCTGAAGATTTCTTTGCTTTCCTCCAAAACAAGGAACTCAAAACATGTCAACAGTAATCCCTGTCTAAATGCATCAGAAAGCCAGGCAATTCCCACTGTACCCACTCCGACACCAGGGCATTCAGAAATACTTCCCAACTATCACAGGAGCTCTTCAATCTTTGATTTTGTAAGATGTTCCCACATATAAGAGACCAAGAAAAAGACACATCCACAACAAAACAACTGGGACATTTTTAACAGAAAGGTATGTTTGTCTCATATCTAACGCTCTGATTTAGCAATTCACGTAGCTTCCTTTCTCCAAGTTCCACAAAAGAGGCCACAAATGGCCCCTTGATAAAGTCTCCTTTCTCAGATGTTTTAAAGGCACTTTATGCTGGATATCATAACAGTTAATCTGACTTTCCTCCATTCCATTGACTTATTTAATTTGCTCAGAGATGTAAGACAATTCAGGGACTTGAGAGAGCTGGGGAAAATGGGGGAGAGTGTTAAAACGAAAAATGAAAGCAGTGTATTCTAGATGTCATTTCTTGGCAGCAGACACACTACCTTGCTCATAGCACTTAGAACAACGCTTGGCAATTAGAAAATGCTCCATAAATATTTTGACTGACTCCAGGTGGAGAAATGTTAATTAAGCATTAATCATCTACCATAAGCCCACACTGACTGAGCATTTTATTCTTCAACATAATCCTGTAATATTGGTATGATAAACAGATTCAAAAGTAAGAAAAGTTAGATAAGAAATTCAGTCAAAACCTTCCCCTCCACATGCATATACTCTCCTACCCATAGCAAACAGCTCAGATGCACCTGCTATGCCGCCTACTATTTACTAAGTGTTCCCCCATGAGTTCCCTTCTTGCTCTGACTCTGGGTGAGTGTTAAGCTGCTCTGAAAATTAAGATAAGTCTCTTAAGTTGCATGGCATGGTTTCTCTGTGACTTTAGCTTTGCCTCTATAAAAGTAATGTCATAAGTTAAAGCATGAAACACTCACTTCACATGCATTTGAGGTGCTTTCTGATCAACAGCTTCCCAAGGAGATCATTTACCTGATTTGTTTTCCTACAGCCACCTTGCTGGGCAGAAAAGGCCTGGACTTTGTCTTTCACATTTAGAAAAGAAAAGCTGAGTGTTTATCCCTTAAAAATATGAGGAAACTATCTGCGTGGGACTGACTTTATGCATATGGAGATTAGGCTGCCATCAGCAAAAAGGATCCTTCCTTCTACAATGTAATGTTTCTACTCTTAGCTGAAATCTAAGTTCTTGACAAAGATGGCAAAAAGGTATTTTCTACTCAAAGTTTTCTTCTGCAATTACAAGAAGGCAGCGTGCTCAAAGGCTATAAGCCTTGCAGTCAGGCAGACTTAAGTTATATCACAACTTTGCAATTTAATTACTGTGTGACTTAAAGCAAAAATTTCAAAAGTTTAATCAGGAAAACCAAAATCAGTTCTAAGCCTTTCAAGTAGGAAGGAATTGGGTTACAAAATTCCTGAATGAGCTAGAGTAGTAGAAAAGAGAAGACAAAGGAAGGTGGTGCTATCTAGAACTCAGGAAGAGTCGGAAGCCTGCCATCATTGCCCAGTCCCACACTCTGTGCCACCACAAGCAGCTGCTGAAACCCCCCAGTCCAAGCTTCCACCAAGGGGCCCCCTCCACTTCTCCACTGCTTCAGGTACCCACACTTCCTGCTTCCATCACTATCACTTTTGTAGCACTCTGCACCATTCCAAAGCCAAAAGAGTAACTTCTACCTTCTTTTTGCCTACCAGTCTAATCCCAATTAAGAGCCTCATATTGAAGGAAACTAAACAAAACCTCTGCTGGAAAATGTAGTTTCTAGGCTTCCAGCCTCTGCCATACAGGGAAAAGCAACACAAATAGCCATTACAACAAGTTGTATAATCTATCTGAGCCCCAGCTTTCTCCTCTATAAAATAAAAATAATGCCCTTATCCAATATGCATTTCTGTAAGTGCCTACTCTATGTGGGTTACTATTTGCTACATATTGATCTAGGAACTGGATATAAAGTTGGTTTTAACTACAATGTTTTCTTGTATATGCTTATGTGAAATATTCAAACAGATAATTATAACAACAGTTTAATGCCCAATCCATACACAAAAATATTTTTAATATCACACCAAAGGTGGGGGGTCTATCTAACTTACTCGAGGGGGAATGGAAGAGGTTCCTAAAGGAGGTAACACCCATTTGTTGCAGAAGACTGGGGGTGGAGAAAATCCATCATTTCAGGAAGAAATGCAAACAAATACAAGAGAATAGATATAAAAACAATATCGGCTAGGTGCGGTGGCTCATGCCTATAATCCCAGCACTTTGGGAGGCTGAGGCAGGTGGATCACCAGAGGTCAGGAGTTCAAAATCATCCTGCCCAACATGGTGAAACCCCGTCTCTAATAAAAATACAAAATTAGTCGGACATGGTGGCACATGCCTGTAATCCCAGCCACTTGGAAGGGTGAGGCAGGAGAATCACTTGAAACTGGGAGGCAGAGGGAGGTTGCGGTGAGCCAAAATCGTGCCATTGCACTCCAGCCTGGGAACAAGAGCAAAACTCCATCTCAAACAAAATTAAAAAATATATAAAAACTAAAAACAGCATCAAGTGTAGAAAATAATATAGGCAGCTTTAAGTTGCTTAAGAATAAAATTCAAAGAAGGAAATGAGAAGAGACAGATAGGCCAAGCCTGGATCAGCAAACGCCTTTGTGTTCTGTTAAAAAAAAAAAAAAAAAAAAAAAAAGTTCAGATATCAACTTGTAGGAAAAGGGGTGATATTTAGCAACCTGATGCCCAGGTGTGGTGTGGTCAAATTTGTGCTGTCTAGTGGCTATGAGAAGATGGATTTGAACAGAGAAAACAGAAGCAGAGAAGCCAGTTTGGAAACATTCAATAGTTCTGTAATGATTTAATGAAAAGCTGAATAAGACCAATGCCAAAAAAGAGAGAGTCCACCAGACACACACTATTATAGGCGTGAAAACAATGCTGGAAGTTTAACATGGTGGAGCACCTTGGATTTACCAACCTCGTTTTCGGAGTAGAAGTATATGCATTTAGAAAGAATTATTTAATAAAACAACTGGAGTAAAAAGGAAGACCGCTCACATCTCAAGGGGTCATACTTACTATATAAGCGGAGGTTCAGTCAGGAGCAGGGCTTTCATTTTACTAGATGGGAACACAAATTTAGGGTAGAGCTAAATTACTCTAGACAACAGAGGAGAGACTAATCCTACAGCTACCGGGAGTCCCTGTCTCCGTGGGTTTTTGTTTGTTTTACACAATGATCATCCTATTAATTAGATAATATTGGTCTGAAGTCGCCCAAATTATTAGCCTGCCCTGATTACCCACATATTGAAGTCAATCATTGTCTAAATTATTGACAGCAGGAATACAGGCAAAGAGAAAGATTCTAGAAATAGAATTAAAATTGTCAGGATGTGATGGTTGGTCATGTGAAAAATGCCCAAAATGAGAAATCAGGAATGTATATTAAACAGCATAACTAATGGACACTAGCCTGAATAACTGGGTGACAAAATAATCTGCAATCAAACCCCTGTGACACAAGTTTACCTATATAACAAACCTGCACATGCAACCCTGAACTTAAATAAAAGTGAAAAAAAGAGCATAGTCACAGTCTCTTACATGAAATCCATATATTCAGAAGTGTTTCAGGATATGGAAAGTTTCTGGTTTAATACAAATAATATGATATATATATACATATACATATATTTACATACACAAACACACACACACACACACATATATTTCACAGCACAGGCAGGAGGACCTACACCAGTGCCACAGTCAAACATATTAACATTTCTTCAATGAAGTATGAGTATTAGTATCAAGTGATATCAATTAAGAGGTAACTTCATTTCAGTCCAGTCCAGTTCTGCCTCAAAGGAATTGAAGCCAGGTCAGATTTCATTGCCAAATGGTTGGTGAGAACTTCTTACTTTTCAGAGTTCTTTTAACTTCAGAATTGTGGAATTCATATTTTTCTGGGGTAGAGATGAGAGTGCTGGGTGATTTAGGCAGGGTCACCCTCTGATTGTTCCTCTCCAATGGTCTCTGAAAGTAGGAAACTTCTTGACTACCATGAACTGAAGCAGGAATATGGATACCCAGCCACATCCTCTGACTGTCATGGGTCCCAACAAGTCACCTGACCTCAGCATAATTACTTATTAGAGTTTATGAATTTTTGATGATCTTAGTGTGTCACCTAGAAGTCAGGGAATAAAGTCCCTGAGAGATTATCACCATGAGATCGTAAAAAATCTGTCCATATATGCCAGGTTGAGTAGCAAACTTAGCATAATGCATACTGCATGCTGGGTACCTTGAATCAGAAACAGCAGCAGCTCCAGGTAGAATGAGACTCTGCCTATCTCCTGAGCCAGACACTGTCTCTTCCCATGAACAGACATCATTAACTCTGACAACAATTTTTTTTTAAAAGCTCAATGAGGTGGTCATCCAGAGTTTAGAGTAGAAAAAAGGGTCAGGCGTGGTGGCTGACACCTGTAAATCCCAGTACTTTGGGAGGCTGAGACAGGTGGATCATGAGGTCAGGAGTTCGAGACCAGCCTGTCCAAGATGGTGAAACCCCTTCTCTACCAAAAATACAAAAAAATTAGCTGGGCATGGTGGCAGGCACCTGTAATCCCAGCTAATCGGGAGGCTGAGTCAGGAGAATTGCTTGAACCTGGGCAGCAGAGGTTGCAGTGAGCCGAGATCGCACCACTGCACCCCAGCCTGGGCAACAGAGTGAGACTCTTTGCCCACCCCACCCCACCCCTCCAAAAAAAAAAGAAAAAAAAGAAAAAAACACGCACAGGACATGAGTTGTGTGTTTGGAGGGAAGAGTGAGATAGTACCTATCCAAGAAATGGCCCATGGAAATCGCAGATCTGAAAATGACCAAGGATGACAGCAGAGAAATACAGAAGGTTATAACCATAAACAGCAGGGTGAGAATGATCCATGGAGCCATAGGGACTAAAGCAATATGCACCAGAACATAGCATCTGCATAGCTGTTGAGTAAGTCCTGATCACCACACCACACATTGCCTTCTAGAGGGAAGGGAGAAAACCAGAATGAATAATGTCCCTGCTTGAAGCAGCTGGGGGTGAGGGGTATGATTATGCTTAGAGGATTACTATACATTTTACATCTTTGTACTCACTAGCAAGAGTCATGTGAAACACACTGTTTATACAAAACTTGCCGGTTTATAGCTATCTAAGTGGATAGTGGTGCTACCAACCAAAATCTTTTTTCTTAAGTGGGGTTTCAGAAGAAGATGGTTAGTTCATTTGGGGTCATACTGAATTGGGATGCTTATATATTATACAGGTAGAGATGTCTCATTAGCTATTAGATATACACATCTCAAGTTAGAAGGAGATATCTGTGCTGGAGATAGTGATTTAAGGTGTTGGTAGCAGATAAAAAGAATGTTGAAATTACTTGTAGAGAATAAGCTGCTGAGAATATTGTACATTGATGATAGGATCCTGAAGAATACCACCATCTAAAGAATAAGCAGTGAGAGAAAAACCAACAGAAAAGACAGAAACAAAGATGAATGGAAGAACCTCTTATTACCAAGTCAGGAGATAATAAAGATTAATAAGGAGATAATAATTGTCTAAGTGAGAGAAGAAAATATATCCATTATATTTGGAAACAAGAAGGATATAGATGATATAAAGGGAAATTTTTCAATACAGTGGTGGAATTGGAAACTAGATCATAGCACATAGAGGAAGAGTAGGTGGACAGATTATGTATAGAATACTCTCTCCAGGAATTTTTAAGAGATCAGATGTCGTTTGTTAGCCGACTGCTTGGTAATTAGTGGGGATTACTGTAACACAATCATCCAAATCAGAGTGGTATAAAGCTTGATATCAGGTCCTTTCCTGAAACCATACCTGTGTAGATGAGAGGAGAAGATAGTCATTGATTCCCTGTTCGTCTCTCACGACCTCTATTTGGCCACATCCAACCCTCTAGCAGACTGGAATGGCAGAGGGAGCACCTTGAACAGCAGCCTCGATGCTGCTGAGATGCTAGACCTGGGAACCAGAATGTGGGAACAAAATGTTCCACAGTAGTGGGTTGCTTCAGAAATTTATATTTGATTTCCTACTCCACAAGAAAATGCATTTAATATTTTATAATGTTTATTAATGAAACTAATGTATTTGTTGCTAAAACACTTAACTTGCAACCAGCCCAATGTATCACCTTCATAGCATTTTCTTATATGATAGATTTCAAAGCCATCCCAACTTTACTATCATGCATAAAGTCTAAAATTCTTGACAGTTATCCAATTTTTGATCTCTTTCTCTCTGACATTTCAGAGATCCCTCTCATTTTCTCCTGAGGGCAGAATACCTTGCAAAAGTGCCAGACCATTTTCTTAACTCTCACTCTATCCTCTTTAACCTTCCCTACTTCCTCCACCTTCCTAATCAAGAATAGATGGGAGCACAGAAACTCAAACTCACCAAAGTTGTCAGAGATTATGGTCTTTGGGTTGGCAAAATACCTTCCAAAACAGGTGGTTATCACCTTTCTCAGAGCACCCAGCTATTCACCTTGAAGCAGATGACTAGGCAGGTACAGGGAGGCCATGACTTATTGATAGAGAAATCAAGTTTCCAGTTTTCATACATTCCATCTTTTCACAATTGCTTTTCCTTTGGGAGGCCAAGGTGAGCGGACCACCTGAGGTAAGGAGTTTGAGACTAGCCTGACCAATATGGTGAAACCTCATCTCTACTAAAACTACAAAATTAGCCGGGTGTGATGGCAGGCGCCTGTAGTCCCAGCCACTCGGAGGCTGAGACAGGAGAATTGGTTGAACTCGGGAGGTGGAGGTTGCAGTGAGCCGAGATAGTGCCCACCGCACTCCAGCCTGAGTGACAGAGCGAGACTCCATCTCAAAAAAAAAAAAAAAAAAAAATAGCAGAAGCTCTTTCCTTTTGCTCTCTTCCTTGTGGTAATGTCCGGCCCTCATTTCGAAGAAGATAGCTGCCACTATTTTACTCCTATCACAACAGGCATGGGAGACAACACTCAGTAAAGATTTATTGGGGCTCTCTAGCATTCCATTCATTTCTTTACACCCGAAATCTGCAGAGAGACATCCTTTATCCTTGCCCTGTGCTCTGAACCCAAACCAAATTATTCTGATCACCAAGAAAATTAGCTTTAACCTATCTAAAGTTTTTTCCAGACAGCAATGTTGGTGGGCATACAACAATATGACTGAAGACTTACAATGCACGTGATTAAACCAGTGAGAGGAACCAGGTCTGCAGCAACTCAAAGATGATCTCATGAAGCAGGCTTAATGTCACCATTTTGTACCAATATAAATTATTTAGCTCATGAACTGCTGTCAACCCCTCCCTAAATCATTTCCAAATATGGAGCTAATTAGACAACATGTTGCTCTGAATCTGATTACAATATATTTGATTAGCATGTAGAGTTTTATCCCAGTAAATTGTCATCATCATAAGGTTGGAAACCCTATTGCCAGGGCATCCTGGAGGGGAATATACACAATTCAGCCTTTATTAAAATTCTAACTTAGTCAAACTTAATGGTGTTCTTGGTTCTCATCACTAAGTCAAAAGAATGCCGATTTCTCTCTCTCTCTCATTGATCTCCCCCAAAATTACTAGCGACTTTTTTATGTTTCCTTGGGTTTACTTAACGCAAAATTTCTATTCACCAACCTTGATATCATTTTTTCCTCCAAAACCATAAATTTGCCTCTTGGATTCCCAATCAAATCAATACTACCCCCACAAAAAGGGAATACCACAAAAGTAGGAAAATTGATGCAAGAATAGTGTGTTCCATGCACAACTATTTTGGTTTAACTTTTAGATTTCCAATTATTATGGATACATCATAGCTGTACATATGTATCAGATACATGGGATATTTTGATACATGCATGCAATGTCTAGTGATCAGATCAGGGTGACTGGAGTGTGTATCCATCACCTCAATCATTTATCATTTCTTTGCATTAGAAACATTCCAATTGCACTCTTCGTTGTTTTGAAATATACAACAAATTGTTAACTATACTTAGCATATTGTTCTACTATGGATCTTATTCCTTCTATCCCATTTTTATACCCATTAACCATCCCATCTTTATCCATCCCTTCCCAACCTCTGCTAACCATCATTCTTCTCTCAATCTCAGTGAGTTCAATAATCTTTAGTTCCCACATGAGAAAATGCAATATTTGTCTGTGCCTGGCTTATTTCATTTGACATAATGTCCTCCAATTCCATCCATGTTATTACAAATGACAAAATTTCCTTCTCTTTTATAGATAAATAATATTCTATTGTGTATATGTGCCACATATTCTTTATCCATTTATCTGCTAATGGATACTTAGGTTGATTCCATGCCTTAGCTATTGTGAATGGTGCTGCAATAAACACAGGAAAGCAGATGCCTGTAACATACTTATTTTATTTCTTTTAGATATATACCTAGTAGTGGGATTGCAGATAATATATTTCTATTTTTAGTTTTTTGAGGAATCACCATACTGTTCTCCATGGTGGCTATACTAATAATATACATTCCCACCAAGAGTGTATGAGGGTTCCCCTTTCTCCATACCCTCTAGTATTTTAAATTATTTTGATATTTGAGGCTCAGCTCATTACCCTTCCTCCATGAAGTCCTTCTTTAAGCGTCCCAGAAAGAAAACAATATCTAATGTTCTCATTCTCTGAATCTTATTGGGCATTAGCCCATGTTCCTTGTATTGGTAATTTATTATTTTATGTACATTAGCTCATTTCACAACTAGATCATAACTTTATTGAATCATTAACGCCTTTGACAACCATTCACTAAGCAACAACTCTGACACTGAACTACATGGTACAGTTACAAAAGTGAGTAAGAAAAACAATTGTCTTCTAGAAGTTCACAGCACTGTCAAAGAAGCAGTGGTTTGTATACTGCTTTGTGTCCCCAGGACACAAAGTTAAATTATGAAAATGGTAAGTGATATCAATAGTATAAAATAACATATAGACTTCTCAAATGGCAAGAGATTCAATTCTTTATAAAATTGACAGTCCTTCATTATTCACTTCCCTGAAGAATTTGAAGCAATGACTTCTAAGTCCTCTTAAGATTCTGAAGATTCTTTTTGCCATGGTATGCTAACCAGTCTCACTCATCTCGGCAAAGCTTCATCTTAACAGAGAACCATCTTGATTTTTACTTGGAGTAGTTCCAAGAAAAGAAATACTCTCCACTCTCCTTCAACTCAAATGGGCATTTGAGTTAGTTCCATGTCTTTGCTATTGTAAATAGTGCTGCAATAAACATACTTGTGCATGTGTCTTTATAGTAGAATGATTTATATTCCTTTGAGTACATACCCAGTAATGGGATTGCTGAGTCAAAAGGTATTTCTGGTTCTAGATCCTTGAGGAATTCCCACACTGTCTTCTACAATGGTTGAACTAATTTACATTGCCTCCAACAGTGTAAAAGCATTCCTATTTCTCCACAGCCTCACCAGCATCTATTGTTTCTTAACTTTTTAATAATCGCCATTCTGACTGGTGTAAGATGGTATCTCATTGTGGTTTTGATTTGCATTTCTCTAATGATCAGTGATGTTGAGCTTTTTCTCATACATTTGTTTCAAAGGGAACACTTCCAGCTTTTGCTCATTCAATACAATATTGGCTGTTTGTCATAAATAGCTTTTATTTTGAGATATGTTGCATCAGTACCTAGTTTATTGATGGTTTTTAACATGAAGGAATGTTGGATTTTATCAAAGGCCTTTTCTGCATCTACTGAAATAATCATGTGGTTTTTGTCACTGGTTCTGTTTATGTGATGGATTATGTTTATTGATTTGCATATGTTGAACCAGCCTTGCATCCCAGGGATGAAGCAGACTTGATCGTGGTGGATAAGTTTTTTGATGTGCTGCTGGATTCAGTTCGCCAGTATTTTGTTGAGGATTTTCACATTGATGTTCATCAGGGATATTGGCCTGAAATTTTATTTTTTTGTTGTGTCTCTTCAAGGTTTTGGTATTGAGATGATGCTGGCTTCATAAAATGAGATAGGAAGGAGTCCCTTCTTTTCAGTTTTTTGGAATAGTTTCAAAAGGAATGATACCAGCTCCTCTTTGTACCACTAGTAGAATTCAGCAGTGAATCCATCTGGTCCTGAGCTATTTCTGGTTGGTAGGCAATTACTGCCTAAATTTCAGCACGTGTTATTGGTCTATTCAGGGATTTGACTTCTTCCTTGTTTAGTCTTGCAAGGGTGTATGTGTCCAGGAACTTATCCATTTCTTCTAGATCTTCTAGTTTATTTACGTAGATTGTTTGCAGTATTCTATGTTAGTTTATAATTTCTGTGGGGTCAGTGGTGATATCCCCTTTACCATTTGGTATTGTGTCTACATGATTCTTTTTTCTTATTAGCCTAGTTAGCAGTCTATATATTTTGTCAATTTTTTTCAAAAAACAAGCACCTGGGTTGATTCTTGAAAGGGTTTTTCATGTTTCTATCTCCTTCAGTTCTGCACTGATCTTAGTTATTTCTTGTCTTCTGCTAGTTTTTGAATTTGTTTGCTCTTGCTTCTCTAGCTCTTTTAATCATGTTAGGGTCTCGATTTGAGATCTTTCTAGCCTTCTGATGTGGGCATTTAGTGCTATAAATTTCCCTCAACACTGCTTTAGCTGTGTCCCAGAGATTCTAGCACATTGTCTCTTTATTCTCATTGGATTCAAAGAACTTGTTGATTTCTGCCTTAATATCATTATTTACCCAGGAGTCATTCAGGAGCAGGTTGTTCAGTTTCCATGTAGTTGTGCGGTTTCGAGTTTCTTAATCATGAGTTCTAATGTGATTGCACTGTGGTCTGAGAGACTGTTAGGATTTCCATTCTTTTTCATTTACTGAGGAGTGTTTTACTTCCAATTATGTGGTTGATTTTAGAATAAGTGTCATGTGTCACTGAAAAGAATATATATTCTGTTGATTTGGGGTGGAGAGTCCTGTAGATATCTATCGGGTCCACCTGATCCAGTGCTGAGTTCAAGTCCTAAATATCATCATTAATTTTCTGTCTTGTTGATCTAATATTGACAGTGGGGTGTTAAAGTCTCCCACTATTATTGTGTGAGTCTAAGTCTCTTTGTAGGTCTTCTAAGGACTTATTTTATGAATCTTGGTGCTCCTGTATTGGATGCAAGTATATTTATGATAGTTAGCTCTTCTTGTTAAATTGATCCCTTTACTATTACATAATGCCCTTCTTTGTCTTTTTTGATCTTTGTTGATTTAAAGTCTGTTTTGTCAGAGACTAGGATTGCAACCCCTGCTTTTTTTCCACTTTACATTTGCTTGCTAAATTTTCCTCCATCCCTTTATTTTGAGCCTATGTCTGTCTTTGTACATGAGATGGGTCTTGTGAATACAGCACACTGATGAGTCTTGACTCTTTATCCAATGTGCTAGTCTGTGTCTTTTAATTGGGGCATTTAGCCTATTTATATTTAAGGTTAGTATTGTTATGTGTGAATTTGATCCTGTCATAATGATGCTATCTGGTTATTTTGCACACTAGTTGATGCAGTTTCTTCATAGTGTCTATTTTGGTGTGTTTTTGCAGTGGCTGGTACCGGTTTTTTCTTTCCATGTTTATTGCTTCCTTCAAGAGCTCTTGCAAGGCAGGCCTGGTGGTGATGAATTCCCTCAGCATTTGCTTGCCTGGAAAGGATTTTATTTCTCCTTTGCTTATGAAGTTTCGTTTGTCTGGATATGAAATGCTGGATTGAAAATTCTTTTCTTTAAGAATGTTGAACACTGGCCCCCGCTCTCTTCTTGCTTGTAGGGTTTCTGCTGAGAGGTCCACAGTTAGTCTTATGGGCTTCCCTTTGTAGGTGACTTGGCCTTTCTCTCTGGCTGCCCTTAACATTTTTTCCTTCATTTTGACCTTGGAGAATCTAATGATTGTGTTTTGGGATTGATCTTCTCATAGAATATCTTAGTGGTGTTCTCTGTATTTCCTAAATTTGCATGTTGGCCTGTCTTGCTAGGTTGGGGAAGTTCTCCTGGATAATATTCTGAAGTGTATTTTCCAGCTTCTTTCCATTTTCCCCGTCTCCTCAGGTACTCCAATCAATCATAGGTTCAGTATTTTTACATAGTCCCATATTTCTCAGAGGCTTTGCTCGTTCCTTATCATTCTTTTTTATCTAATCTTGTCTG
Source organism: Homo sapiens (assembly GCF_000001405.40). Lineage (NCBI taxonomy): Eukaryota > Metazoa > Chordata > Mammalia > Primates > Hominidae > Homo > Homo sapiens. Next base: position 53,881,548 of record NC_000018.10, read on the forward strand.
CATGCCTTATTTCAGCAAGGTGGACTTCAAACTCTGATATCCTTTCTTCTGCTTCGTTGATTTGGCTATTGATACTTGTGTATGCTTCACGAAGTTCTCGTGCTGAGTTTTTCAGCTCCATCAGGTTATTTATATTCCCCTCTAAACTGGTTATTCTAGTAAACAGCTCCTTTAACTTTTTATCTATGGTCTTAGCTTCTTTGTGTTGGGTTAGAACATGCTCCTTTAGCTCAGCAGAGTTTGTTAGTACCCATCTTCTGAATCCTACCTTCTATCAATTCGTCCATCTCATCCTCCATCCAGTTCTGCACCCTTGCTGGAGAGGTGTTGAGATCATTTGGAGGAGGAGAGACATTCTGGCCTTCTGGGTTTTCATCATTTTTTTGTTGATTCTTTATCATTTTCATGAGTTTGTCTAGTTTTGATCTTTGAGGCTGCTGACCTTTGGATGGGGTTTTAGTGGGGACTTTTGTTGTTCATGCTGTTGTTGCTTCGTTTTTTTCAATGATCAGGTCTCTCTCCTGTAGGGCTACTGCAGTTTGCTGGGGGTTCATTTCAGGCCCTATTCATCTGGTTCACTCCTGCACCTGGAGATGTCACTCAAGGAGGCTGGAGAACAGCAAAGATGGGTGCCTTCTTCTTCCTCTAGGATCTCTGACCTCAAGGGGTACTGACCTGATGCCAGTAGGATTGCTCCTGTAGAGGGTGTCTGCCAACCCAGTTGAGTGACATGGGGAGGAGGACCCATTTAATGAAGCACTTTGACTGTCCCTGGGTGGAGGAGGTACGCCATGCTGGGGGGAAACCCACTCATCTGGGCTGCCCGGATTCCTCAGAACTAGCAGGAGAAAAAACTAAGTCTGCTGGTCCACAGAGACTGTGGCCACCCCTCCCCTAGACGCTCAGGCCCGGGGAGATCTGAATTCTATCCCTGAGCCCCTGACGGGAGTTACTGGAGTTCCTGTAGGGAGGTCCCGCCCAGTGAGGAGAGAGAGGTCAGGGTCAGGCCTGAAGAGGCACTCTGGTTGCAGTCTACCACATTTGGTGTGTTGAGCTGTGGGGGACACCTCTTAGGACCAAGTGGTCCAGCCTCCCTGGCTCCAGCATGGTAAAAGCACAGTCTGGAGCTATAGAGATGGCTGCCACCCTTGCCCCACTTTGGGAGCTTGGTGTGTTCAGCAGATATCAGTCCCAGTGCTGGCTGCTGCCCCTCCCCACAAGGACCTCAAATGGCTGAGAGAGCAGACAGCTACAGCTGTGGTGCTCGTTGCCCCTTCCCCCAGGAACTCAGCAGGCTTAAGCTTTAGTTGAATGGCTGTTGAGAATATGCTTGGCTCCTAGGCTCCAGTGGTGTGGGTTCACGAGTGGGATCTTCCAATCCATGGGTGGCACAGTTCCGTGGCAAAAGCACGGTTTCCCAGGCTGGGTAACACACTCACTCACCGTCTCCCTTGGCTGGGGGGTGGGGGCTCCCCTGCCTCATGTGGCTCTCAGGTGGGCTGCCCACCACACTGCTCTTTCTTCCTCTACATGGGTCACACCAGCTGCCTAGTCAGTTCTGGTGACAGAACCCGGATACCTCGGTTGCCACTGCAGGATTCACATGCTATTATGTTTCTTTTTGATGGGAGCCTCTGATCATGCTGCTTCTAGTCGGTCATCTTGGCCCCACCCCCCAATATTAATATTATTTGTGATTAAAATATTTTTCCCGATAGTTTTCAATGTTAATCACAAATAAAGTTTTCCGATTAATATTAAATACTATAGGGGAAAATATTTGTGTGCAAATTTTAACCCATTGTTCCAAGTATCATAAAGCAGACTCTATTGTAAATTGTTATGATCCTTTTGGGATCATGAGAGCTCAACTCCTAATATCCATAATCAACATTAAATAAAAATTTATGTAATATCTTTCCTATTCTTCTTTATTACGCAAATCACAGAGATAATCTACACTTAAAAAGCTCTGATTCTGGATAGTGAATGATTAATTAATAACACCCTGAACTATTCCTACAGAGAGATGTTTAATGTCACAAGACGTGTCATTGCCTCATTCATTCTGCTCAGTGTAGCATCAATTTTCTCCTTGTACCCCAATTTTAAAAAGCACTTTTTCCTCAGAATAGTTGGAATGGTGGAACACTCCATCAACACAAGCATTCCCAAGAACGTTTTACATAAAGGAAAAGAATGCACCCCAAACAATAATATAGGTTAACTCTTTAGATATTTTTATTAGTAGGTATTCTAGACAGAATTTGCTCTACCTAAATACTGCAATGTATTCAATACTCTGGACACCAAAAGAAGAAAAGGCATGCTATCGGTGCCATTCAGAAGACTGTATTCACTGAGATCATTTCTGTCTAGATCTCATGCATATTTGTTCCACCTGAATGAATGATACTGGTGAGGCTTTCTGTGACTAAGAGCCTCATCATCACTGTCCCATGGAGGCAGACAGAAATTCTAGATTCTACTTTGTGTTTGCCAGGACTGGCTGTCATAGAAATTATTACCATAATTCCATTTCTGCTTCATTTTCACCACTTTAGATGCCTCGCTCAGCTTTCTCATATTACTGCCCCCATAGGCTTTTTCTCCCACACCTCCTAGAATCTGCTTTCTGACCCTTTAAAAGTCAAGCATGTGAGAATATCTTTGTACGATCCCTCCTAGAAATACTTGTGTCAACAACTGAAATAAAATTTCATCCAACAGCTAGCAGGTTGTGGGAAAGGTGTCTTGCAAGAGGAGAGCTAAGGTAGGGCTCTCCCAAGAAGGCCATGAAATCACACCATGCACACAGTGCTCAAATCCACCTGTGAAATGACTGGCCTGGAGTAAGAAATAAGGTTCTAGAAAAAAGTTATACCTCAAATTGACCATATTCCTGCTGCATGACTGGCATTTATTAAATGTGACATTTTCTTTGGCACTCTTATATCCTACCATTGTTTAATGACTGAGGAATTTAGGAAATCAGGAATTAGTGCTGTCGGAGAGAGAGGAAAAGTTTGCCAAATAGTTGTATAAAGAAAGACAGTTGTACCTGAGCTATGTCTGCTTAAAGGTCAAATTAAGCATATCCATACTGCTTCCGAATAATGGGACAAGTAAATACATGCCCCCCTACACCTCTCGCTTAAAGGAGATTTCACCATGACAAGCAGAGTGTCATTTATTAGGCTGCTTTCAGACAAATGCACTCAAATTCATCTAACTACAAGATGTGGTCTGTCCAGAAGCTTCCTCAGCACAGCCCAGTGAAGAAAAGCATCAGTAATTGCTCAAAATGTGTCAAGTACACAGTCTTTCAAGTAGGGAAGTTTAAAAATGCCATTTCACACAACAATGGATTTGTTACTAAATATTCTTGACAGAATACCTAGGAAATGTGAAGCCAAAGGGTATCTATGGGTATATTACACCCTGCTCAATGCATGTATCCCTTCATTCAATCATTGAGTAGTTATAAGCTTTAGAGGTTACTGATGCCCAAGTGAGGTTCTTAGTATTCCTGTCATAAGTACATATATATATACACACACACACACACACACAGAGAGAGAGAGAGAGGAGAGAGGGATGGGGAGAAAGAGAGATGGGGTGAGGGAGAAAGAGAGATGGGGTGAGGGAGAAAGAGAGATGGGGTGGTGGAGAAAGAGAGATGGGGTGGGGGAGAAAGACGGGGTGGGGGAGAAAGAGATGGGGTGGGGGAGAAAGAGATGGGGTGGGGGAGAAAGAGAGATGGGGTGGGAGAGAAAGAGAGATGGGGTGGGGGAGAAAGAGGGATGGGGTGGGGGAGAAAGAGAGAACCCCAGTGATGGGGACAAAAAGAGTGTTAAACTAAATCCTGAGCAATCTACATTTGCCCTCTTATTTTTCCCCTCTCACCCTGGGTAATGGTTTTTGTACCTAAAAAATGGTAACTTACCTAGACAAAGCAAAATTGGAATGGTAGCATGACCCAGCCAAAAGAACTTCATAAGTAGCACCAAAAGATAAGATGAGAGAGAGAAAAGATCGAGGAAAGAGTGATCAGAACTGTAAAACAAGAATAGACAATAAAGTATAAGGGAAATTATGTCCTTTTATACCCCTATAGTCTTTTGTACAATCTTTTCTTATTCATCTGGAGCCAGGGAACAGTTATAAATAAATATTTCTCATTTCCACTGATCCATGTATATCAAAGTGATACTGCACTTTTCTTCTCAGGGGCCACGATATCATTAGAAGACTTTTAATGCAGTGAAATCTCATAGCAAACTTTCAAGTTAGCACCTTCAAGAATTCAGCCACATATCAGTAGACTGTCATTAAATGTAATAGAGTGAGGTCCTCTACAAGCCAGACATCCATGTGCTAGGTGCAAGGGAAACATCAGTGGAGACAAACATGATGCCTGCCCTGGTGGGAAATTTGGTCCAGTGAGATGGGGCAAGGTTACAGGGGACAGTGAGGTTGCGCAGTAAAAAAATAACTAGCAACTTTGGGCCAGGTCTACCATTCCTGTGCTGAAGCTGAAAGCAGAGGACCCCCTCCAGCCAGGCATGGACTATTCCTACCCATTTTGTGTAGGTGAGTTGGTGATATCATCTTCAGAAGGAAAGAGCCTCACTGTCTGTGTCTCTGAGTTATGGCTCTAGGGAAACCACTCAAATTACAGGAAAGTTCACGCTAGAAGACTTTTATTTCTATTTATTTTTCAATCCAAGTCATTGCACCAACCCTTCAAATGCCTCCAGATGACTGAGTCATGAACACTCTTGTCAGTGGTACTTGACATTAACTAGATTGATTGCACCAGAATAGAAATCAGCTGCATGATAAGTGATTATGGCTTTTCTGAACTGGAGGGGGTATGGATCTATCTTCTATCAAGACTTTCAAAGTCAGGAGCACAGGATAAAATTAATATATTTTAACGCAATGAGGCTTATCTTCCTTTTCACTAGCATCAGCATATAATGAGGTACTTTACCCCATGTTATCCAATAGTACATTCAAACTGAACCAAACTGTAATGGCAATTAGACTCTGTATTTAATTAAAAGCTCAAGATGTATTCTCATGCATTATTCTTTACATCAATTTATATTTATAGTCCAATTCTGACAATTATGTATTGCTTATGTATCAAATTCTTCTTTTGCTCACACTGAAAAACAAAGACTTAAAATATCTGATTTAAGGATTTGATAATGTATTTGGAGACAGCAAGTAAATATGTGTGAAATAATTTATAAATAAGCAAGTACTAAGCTATATGAAACAGAACCAATTAACACATAGTAAAATTCTAAGTGGAGGCAATTAGAGAATAAATTTATGTCATTATGAATAAGCTTCTCATTGTATGATATAGTGAAATTAAGATAGGAATGATCAAGCAGCTAATATTTCATCAAAAAAAAGGGAAGGACTCCCTGAGCAAGATATAACAATTTCAAAAGTCTGTGTTGCATATGTAGAGCAGAGACCAGGTCTTATCAGTCATATGTCCTGCCTCCCACAGGGTCACCCATATGGGTGTGTGAGTCCACAGGCTATTTTTTGTGGGGTCCTGATCTAATTAAACAACATGATTTAAAACTGTATTAAAAATGCGTGAGCCTTTCTGATGTATAGTGACATACTGATGAAGCTTTGGAATACTGGATAGAAAAGAGGTACCTACATATTTGTTTAGTGCCCGATCTGCACGAGAAGATCCTTTACAGTGTCCAGGAACCAACCCTTCTTGTTCAGATCCAGGAACTATCCCTTTGTGGCTTTTGTCAGATGTACCATTCTTGGCTACTTTCTACCACTTAAGAAAAAGTCAGAAACGTCATTATTACTCAAAATTCTTTAGAACCTGTTTATATGGAAACAATACTGACCTTCATGCCTTAGAATTTGCATAATACCTTATTTAATGCTGGTTACATCATTACTAATGATGTCGCATTATCTATAAATACTGGCTTTGTACAATTCTCAGTTATTGCTGTGCTTAGTTGTTGATGGGCACAAATTCAAGTCTTATCTAAAGTATGCGGGAAATGTGAATAATTCATGTTGAGCATACAGTTCAAAATCTTCAAGTACAAATGCAGAACACATTCTCCAACCATGTCTTTTCTTGAATTCATTATGCCATAATCACTGCATTCCTAGAATGTGATCTCTTTCAAGTTAACTGCACTCCTGCCTTCCAAATACCATCATCACACCTGTGAGCGGAGGGGGAAAAAAGGATTCCCATTCACAAGGAATGTTTGTGTTTTATTTATCACTGCATAAGACTGAACCAGGAAAGCTCAATGTCACATCAATAGGAGGCAATTCAGAGAGAACGTCTGCCCAAAGGACCTGTCAGTATTGGGGAGCAACAGTCTCAACAGCCAGGAGGAAATAAGTACAGCCACCCCAGGAGGACTGCCTGACACTGGCATAGAGCTGGCAGGGGATGAGGTAACTGCCCCGGGTGCCAGCTTTGGGGAACACACATGATAAAGAATACCTCCTGTCACTCCCACCACCCTTCGGCACTATGGACCAAAGGGAACACTGCAGTGGGAACATTGATGGGCAGAGGCCAATACAACACATGGCTCAAATCCATGGGTCATCAACAGACGACTGGTAGTCCAGAACCCTAAACCCATCTGTTATCTAGTATAAGTGAGAGTTATCCTAAATAAGCATATCAGCAAATTCTGGTTGTCCAGTCTTATGCAATTCTGTGAACGCTATTTTACACAGACTAGCAGAAGCAATCATCTTGCTACCACACCACCCTCCTGGAACTGGGGCTTATTCACAGAGCCCCAGGGAGATCCCACTGGATTGTAGGATAGAGAGTGAGAGAGCACTCTACAGAGAAGGGGAGACCAAGGACCATGCAGGTCCAGGTCCAGGCTCAGGATGACCACTCCAGATGGTATTGCCAGTTATGGCCAGTCCTAGACACCAGAGTGAGACTTACAGAAGATTGAGACATGTGTGGCCAGGCGCAGTGGCTCACAACTGTAATCCCAACTCTTTGGGAGGCCTAGGCGTGTGTATCACCTGAGGTCAGCAGTTCAAGACCAGCCTGGCAAAATCCCATCTCTACAAAAAATTTAGCTGGGCATAGTGAAGAACACCTGGAATCCCAGCCACGAGAGAGGCTGAGGCAGGAGAATTGCTTGAACCCAGGAGACGGAGACTGCAGTGAGCCAAAATTTTGTGCCACTGCACTCCTGCTGCCTGGGCAACAGAGCAAGACTCTGTCTCCAAAAAAAAAAAAAAAAAAAAAAAAAAGGGAGATAGGTGCTTTTCATGATCAAGACCCATGCCACGCATGCCAAGGTCTATGGTCTATGCTTAAAGCCCCTGTCTGAATGGCAGCTCTGGCTGCAGCCCATCTCAAGAAATGCAGGACATCTTAAGGAGGCTCTCCAATACAAGGGACCCATTGAACCCTGTGGTCTGAGGCAGAGACCTCACTAGCTCAAATCTAAGGGCAAAATTAACCTCCACAGCACTTCATATAATTCAAGGTAAGCATTAAGTCATGCTGAATTTGATCAAGTCTCAAACCATTCTTATTCAGTGTAGTCTATGAAAGGAAAACAGGAATGTCACAAAGAGCAGGGCACCCCTTTTCCTTTTCCTCCACTATTCCCCAAGTAAATTGAAGATTGTTTTTCATCTTGCAAACTAATCCAGAATACAAAAACTATTGAGAACTGGCAGCTGGAATTCTTTCCCCTTCATCCCAGCTGGAAGCCACAGGCATTGGTATGGGAAATTCTGATTTTATTCTGTTGAACAGAAGCTATTTCAGCTTCCGTGGGGCTTGAGGCTCACACAATTTTGAGAGCCTTCTTTAGGAAAAAGGATGAAAAAAACTAAAATACAAAATTAAGTACAAATGTAAATATTTATTCATAATGAGGAAAGTCACAACAAATGACAAATTTTAAAAGCCAACATAAAATTTTGCACATAAACATACTTGGTATTTATAGCACTACTGTGAGTTTATTTCCTACAAACACAAGAACTATGGAAATTTTATTTTGTGTGGTCTCCATAAAAAAGAGTACAATGTGTATCTCATTATATATACTGCATTTTCAATTACTTCTGGCAGAGAAAACTTCTGAATTGACAAGGTGTTGATGAGAACCTAATTTTCCATTTATAATAATTTTATATGTCTGATGACTAGCTTCTGGCTTCATACATTTAACCTTTCATTCTCTTTAATGATACATATATTTCTGTTCAAATTGTGATAAAATAAGTCTATGTTTTCATGACATTGGTTGAATTGGCAAAGAGGGAGAAAGTTGGTAGATTACTGGATGTCATTTTTACACTGGGACAGCAATAATTTAACTGGATACATGAAATTCTTGGAAAACTACACAACAATATTCCAGTAAGTCAAAAAGGGAAGTTGGACTGGGAAAACTCTTGGACTTAATAAATCGAAGTCAAAATAGCTTCCTATTGCAAACTTTACAGAGCCATTATCACCATGGATACACATTGCTAAGGCTCTTCCCTGGGCCTGGGAATAGTCCCATGAATGTGAGGGTTTCTGCATTAGCTTCATGTAAAGCCATCTCTGCTACTGAAACAAGCAACTTTCTGCAATAAGGACAATGATGTGAAATTCTGAGTGTCTCTATATTAGTTCATTCTCACGCTGCTAAAAAAAAGACATACCTGAGACTGGGTAATTTATAAAGAAAAAGAGGTTTAAATGGACGCACACTTCCACACGGCTGGGGAGGCCTCACAATCACGGCATAAGGCAAAGGAGGAGCAAAGTCACATCTTACATGATGGCAGGGCCATCAGGCAAGAGAACAATCAGTGCCCAGCAAAAGGGGAAACCCCTTATAAAACCATCAGATCTCATGACAACTAACTCACTGTCTGGAGAACAGGATGGGGGAAACCTCCCCTGTAATTCAATTATCTCCACCTGGCCCCTTCCATGACACATGGGGATTATGGGAACTACAATTCAAGATGAGATTTGGGTGGGAACACAGCCAAACCACATCAGTCTCCATCCATAAACTGACAAGTAGGTTGCATGGGTAAAATGACTTGAAAGGGATCTACTACATATGATGATGTACTTATTCACTTTAAATGGAAATAGTAAACATGTAATTCATGTAGCTCTCTAACTTATCTGGTTGAATTTCCATAAGAAAGTGGGCAGAGATCTGGAGTGGTTTGATACAAATACTGCTCCTTTCAGTAAAGCTTGGCTTCAACATGATATGTCTTTTGGACTATTTTCTTTTCACATTGAATGTAACCAACAAACCACAGATTTCTCTTGTAGAATCTCCATTCTTTTCTGGACACACACGTTTGTTTTCCTCATGAAATCAGCAAGAAGCCTCTGTAATCAAGGAAAACCAGCTTCTACTCATCCCCCCATCCATTCTGCCTGCTCAGTTACATTTTGTGAATTGCCTCCATGATTTTCTGTGTTATTTATGTTAAATGGTCTTTCTAGTTATCTGTGTTTCTGCATTATTGATATCAGGTTCTCAAATGCCAAGTTTGATAGGATGATTTTTAAAGAGTTAAATCCTTAGTGATGAATACTTGCTTCTATCTTTTTCCATGTTGACTTCCAAAAGCCATTCAGAAGAATGAAAATGGAAATAATCATTTTCAGTAGGACAAGTAGTCAGAGAAAACCCTAGGCCCCAAATTAGAATAAGTGCTGCCAAAAGCAGCTGTGGCTTTCCAATGCATGAAGCCTCAGAGCAAGCGGTAACAGGAAAGACAGAGGAAACAAGGAGTCCTAGGGACCTAGCTGTGGTCAGCTGCAAAGAAATGATAGCAGAATGAAGGGATGAAAGATCCCAGACAGCCTCAGCACAAATACACCCTTAGAAGTGAGAGGATCCCCTTGGAATTCCATATCTGTGTCTCTTGGCGGTAGTGGCCAGGAAAAGATACGGTGGATTTGTCAGACAGGTGGTAAAAACCCTATGAACTAAGTCAGGTTTGGAGAGATCAAGATGACATATCTAACAGAGGCACCATATATGAAAGAAATGGCAACAAAAAAGAGATCCTGTCATTTAAGGACTAGAAGGGCTACCCCCTCTTTTCCCTTTTTCTCTACTATCACCATAAAAAAATTCCTGTAAATATCTGTCCAGGAAATTTCAAATTATTTGGATATGGGTGACAAAAATCATATACACATAAAATTCACATAGAAAGAAAAATACATGAAAAGGAGCATCAAAACTTTCCTATAGATAAGAACTTACCAGAAAAAAATGCTCCCATAAAACAGAAAATTGTGACAAAAAATTGTAACAAAATGTACATTATATGTACATTTGTACAATTTCAATGAAGTAACTATGAAAAAAGATCATAACAGGAGGTGACAGATAATAGGAGGAAATGAAATAGGAATACACAGGAAAAATAAGAAAAGGGAAAATCATTACAGATTTAGACAAAATTAGAAAGTAAACAAAGCAAAAGGGTTGCTGTGGTAAGCATAGACACACACAAGATGGAAATTAAAAAATTAATATAATGAAACAAAATTTGTATAAATTATTAGAAAGAAAATAATATGACAGACAAGAAATAGAGTTCTAAAACAAGCATATTTGGAGTCCCTGAAAGATTAAAATTAACTTAATACTATAGAACACACACTTTAGAATATAAGAAAAAAATCTGGAATTCAAAAAGACAATCAATATATTGAAAATGCATACTGTGTATCAGTGAAAATTGACTCAGGTCTTCAGTATAAAAACATATCTAATAAAGATATTTATCAAGTAAAGGACTTTAATTATAAGGAAAAATTATTTGGACAGCCAAACAAACATTTCAAGTCACTTAAATAAGAAAAGGAAAATTAGGCTGGCATTAGGGCTTCTATCCAGCAACATTTAATATCACAAGATGGGAGCAAAACCTACTTCAGAAAAAAATGAAGGAATTGATATAGAGCCAAGGATTTTATAGCCTTCAAAGTATGAGACACTGATTTTATTTTCAACTTCTAGCTCATCAAACAAAGGCTGCAGACAGTTTTGGATACCTAACAAGTGAGAGGATACTGTTTACAGTATTTCCTGAGAAAACTATCACTAGATGGTTTTAAACACCAACCAACCAAAAGATCATGGACAAAACTTTGGCCAGAAGCACGACAGTGAAATTGAGTACATTTAAATGCAAAACTAAGCTCATTGCTTGCCTCCTCTCCATGAGATGACAGCTGAAGTATATCTGTCAGAAGTAAGAAATCAAGAATGGAAGAATATGCATATTTCAAAATATAAAAGTAAATGCTAAACTTAAACCATCTTGTTGACAAAAATTAGATGCTATAGAAAAGCGAGTATGGACAAATACAGACAATGTAAGCCAGTTGAATTATTGCTCACAGTAAGTAACTAACATAATCTGTTAAAAGAAAGAAGTAACTAAGGCCATGATAGTGAGATATTCTATAAATATTTATTTATATTTGGAACAAAAAATGCTGCTCTAAACATCAGAAAAACCACATTTCGAAAGCAAATAAAACAGACTGCATTGTGTAAAACCTTCACATTTATAAAAGTAAGCACATTGAGTAGGGACTCTGCCATACTAACACAAATAAACATAATTCACCTTTCAAACAAATCAGATTTTCAAATTAGATCACAATTGAAAACCAACTCTATGCTGTATCCAAGAGGCATACCCAGAACAAAGTAATTCTGAAATGGGAAAAAAAATGATGCTTGAAGAAAATCTAAAACAAAAAGAATCAGCAGTTATATGAATTTCAGACACGATGAGATTCAGGTGAAAAGCACAAAAATGGGCATTATGTAAGAATAATGGATATAGCTCATAATGAAATTTACAGTTATGGATACAAATACACCAAATAATGTAATCAGCAACTTCCTACAGCAGACATCACAGAAGCTACAATAAGAAATAACAACTTGTCACTGGGAATTTTAATTCACCACCCCCAATCTATAAAAAATCAAAATGTCCACGTCTCATAAGCTCATTAATAAATTTAACATCATCCCTATATATATGCCACAAAGCTGGGTTTTGTTTTTTTCTGAAAAAAAAAAAAAACAGAAAAGAGATTATTAAATTCTCATAGAAATTAAGGACAGCCAAGGAAATTGTGAAAAAAGAAGAGCAAGGATGTGAGACCTGCCTTATCATCTTCTGAAACATATAGTGAACCCTTCATTAAATAACTAAAACAGTGTGGTTCTGGTCTATGAGTGGATAAACCAGTGGTACCGGTAGGAAGGTCCAGAAATAGGTTTTTTAGAATAAAAGAATTAGTAAAGATTAAAGTGGCATCTCAAATCCATCAGGAAAACATAGGTTATCTAATATAGGGTCTTGGAACAAATAAGTTGCTTTGAAAGAACAATCAGGGCTGAGAAAGGAGGCGAGAAAGATAAACTATAAATAGATTAAAGCTATAAATTAATGGAATTTAAAAAAAAAAACTTGGCAAAAAGCTAGAGCAGATTCATATATAACCTTGTAGAGGAAGCCTTTTAAGTATGATTCAAAAATCTAGAAGCCACAAAAAGTTGATAAATGTGATGCTAAAAATAAAAACAAGAAATAAACCTGCATTTTAAACAAGAGAAGCAGCCGGGTGCGGTGGGGCTCACACCTGTGATCCGAGTGCTTTGGGAGGCCGAGGCGAGTGGATCATGAGGTCAGGAGTTCGAGACCAGCCTGGCCAACATGGTGAAACCCCCATCTCTACTAAAAATATAAAAAATTAGCCAAGGGTGGTGGCAGGCACCTGTAATGTCAGCTACTTGGGAGGCTGAGGCAGGAGAATCGCTTGAATCCAGGAGGTGGAGGTTGCAGTGAGCCAAGACCATGCTACTGCACTCCAGCCTAGGCAAAAGAGCAAGACTCCATCTAAAAAAGAATAATAATAAATAAGAGAAGCAAAGTTAAAATAATAACACTTGAGATAAAATATCTTCAACTAATACCACCTAGGACTAATGTCCTTAGTTGATAAAGAACTTCTCAAATCAGAAAGAAAATTACTATCTGCTGGGAAAATGAGCAAATCACAAAACCAGACAGTTCATAGGAAGAGAAACACATTGTTGCTTAAATGTACAAGAAGATGCTCAATTTTATTCAGAATAGAGAAATGCCAAAAAAAAATTTCAAGATTACATTATCACATCATTTTAGCAAACACTTCAAAGATCAACAACACACTATCTGTGAGGCTGTGGAAAAAAAGGCAGTCATATACTATGCTGTGATACAATCCCTGTGGGAGGGGAATCTGGCAACAGCTACCAAAACTAGACTCCACAGTCACACTCTGAGAAGGTATCCTTCAGAGATGGCTAAACATAAACAAAATAATGTGTGCAGGAGGTTTTCCACCACAACATTCCAAAAGATTAGCAAAAATCTAAGTGTTTGTGGTAATTAGGCAGCATGAATAAATTATGTTAAATAAAGATGGAATAATCTGCAGTGGACAAAAGGAATGAGAAAGCTCCTTTAGTCCTGACATAGAAAGATCTTTAAGCTGTAAGAAATGGGAATGAGCAGCGTTCAGAATAGTGCATACAGTGTGTATCTGGCTATTCTCCATTTTTCTCTAACCAGATTGATAATTCACTGCCCACCCCCAACCCTTCCGTGTCTTGCTCTCTGTGCTGAAAGCATGACGGATCTGAATTGCATCAACAGGGCTTGCTTGCCATCTCACTTCCAGTGGGTTTGGTAAATGGGGGGTCATATGCAGGTGTGTGGGAAAAGAGGCAAGTCGGAGTATTTCTTTTCCACATCTCTCCACCGTACTGCCAAATATCTGGCAATGATTTCATCTAACAACAACTACAACCCCTGCCTTGGAGGCAGCCTTCCTCCATGACTCCAGCTGTCCCATGGCTCTGGTAACTATCTAATCCCCTTTACCGGACCCCCTCCCAGGTCTAGGGAAAGTAAATTTTCTAACTAGTCTCTGGGTGTCTCAGCTTTCTATTTCCTTAATACTGCTAACCTCTATAAAAATTCATTTCATTAAATCTACTCAGTAGAACTATCTTAGTTGAATTCTGTTTCCTGCTGGGGCTCTGATTTATGTGACATGCTATCTTTTATATAAGAATGAAAGAAAAATAGTTGATTAGTGTTTGCTTCCATTTACATAAAGAAATATTGGGGAAGGGTACACAAGGGTTCAATGTGAGTCTGACCTTCAGGAGGTGATGGATAAATAGGAACAGGGGCAAGATTATTCATTCACATCCTTTTTGTAGCATTTTAATTGTTAAAATAGTACATAGGAACGTACAATGTTCTTTAAACACAAAACAAAAAAAAAGAATATATGTAGGATTATACAGGGTAATAAATCAAGCTTGGTTAAGGAAAAATAATAAGTCTGTTCTCCAGATATTGATAGAAAACAATCTCCCAAGATGTAAGTGGAAAAAATATGTAGAAAAATGTGTATAAAATGTTTCTATTTGTGAAGAACAAAGGAAGGAGGGTAAGAGAAAGAGGCAGAAAGAGGAAGAGAGAGAGGGGAAAGAGAGGGGAAGATTGAATAGGCATATACACTTATATGTGCATAGAATATCTCAGTAAACAAGAAACACCTAACACTGAATACCTGGAGGAGAGGAATTAGAAGGAATAGAATGAATTTTTTTTACCTTCTATCCTTTCATGTTTAAAAAGAAGTTTACTGTGCTCATTATGTTTTCAATTAATAAAAATTAAGCCAAATAATTAAAAGAACAAAAGTGCATGTAACAAATTAGCATTGTCTTGAAACTTGACATAAAGTCCTTTTCGGATATTTTATATTTTAGTGGAAAACTCATTCCAAGTCAGAAAGTATGAAACCAGAACACCATTGTTCTTACAAAATGACTCAAAATCATCATCCAATTGGAGTATTTTCATAGGAAAGGAAAGTTGTTTTTTGTAATTTTCATGTGTTACATTCCTTTTCACCTCAATTTTTACAGGAAACTTCAAATACAATTTCTGACTATCCTCCACAGTCAATTGCGAGGCATTAGACAATTATGAACTGACTGAGATTGCATCATTGAAAATTTCACCAAAAACAAAATTTAGCAAAGGGTAGAACTGAACGGGTTAGGTTGTAAAACACAACTGGTCTGTGGCAACATTCCCCATGTGGGTTTATTCTCATCACCTGGTTAATTGACTTAAAAAGTAAAAAAGTGTGGGGAGAAACAGTAAAGCTATAAGATTGTATCATATAAATTGAAAGGTTGCTTTTACTTTTGATGGAATGTTTTCTTTTACTGAACTCAGCCTAACTAGTTTGCCAGTAAATTCTCAAAGCTGGTTTGGGACTGCCTCAGTAGTTTCTTTATCCTAGAAACAAAACAACGTAACAGGGCTAAATCAGTTGGATTATTTTAAGTTCTTTTCTTTTCTGATAAAAAAAGAAAAGAAAAAAGAAAATTCTCCTTGTGTACCTTTCTGCCTCAAAATCTATGACATCTATTAAACCTCTATTTGTTGTGTTAAATATTAACGCCTATTATCTTATAATATGTATAGAAGAGCTATTGTTGAAATAAATAAATGGTGATAGGGCCAAGTGTATTTCATTGAGATCCACAGTGCAGAAATTCTAACTGCATATTCCAGCAGGATGATACCTACTCCAGTTTATAGCATACTTCTCAAACAATTATAATTAATCCTAAAATATAGAATTCCATCTGAAAGTAAATTTAAGATCCTTTTGTACTAAGAAAAAAACTCTAATATATCTAATGTCAGCTTGATTTTTGAGCAATTCATTAAATGCTTTCAGTGTGCCCCTTATAGGCTTTAAACCAAAGTTCACTCTCAAATACTTCTGCTTCTCTGCCAGAAAAGAAAACACAAGTGACAAGAAAAGGGTTTTTTAACATTAAAAAAATTCATTAAGTAGCTTATGTTTATTTTAGAAAAAGAATATATGAATAAATCAATGAAATTACCAGTATTTCTGGCAATGTGTATTTTCTTTCTGCTCATCTAATTTTTTTCCTTCTTTTATAATAATCAAACAGGCTACGAATATTTCATACAACCTTTGACAAGGCAATTTCACTTTTAGTAATTTATTGTAAGAAAATAATTAAGATCGTGTACAAAGATTTGTTTACAAGATGTTCATGGTGGTATTTTTTATAACAGTGAAGAATTGATAACAACTTACATGTCAAAAATAGGGTATAAGTTTTAATGAATTATGATACATCCCAACAAAGGCATAGCCTTTTAAAAATAATGTTGCAGAAGACTACTGATTGCCTCAGAGTTATGTTCATGCTCCACTGTTTAATATAAAAGCAGGTTACAAATTATGATTCAAGTGTATATGCTTATGAATTTCAAAAACAAACAAAACCCTTTTCGAGTGTCTGTTATCTGTTAGGTATCCTACCAGGTGTTAGGGACACAACAGTGAATAGGATAGAGATTTTTATCTTTCCTGGGGCTTCTTTTAGTCAGGACACAGACCAGTAAACATGCAATAACTATATAGTTTAAGATTTGTTGAAATATCAAGAAGCAAAATGAATTAACAACAGATTATAGGGGATGGAGGGGACAGGGAGTCAGAAGTTGGGGAATGGAGTATAATACTCCAGGATGCTTGCCCTGAATAGAGTGATTATATCAATTACCTATTTCTCCCTAAGGAGCCATCCCAAAATTCTGTGACTCACAACAACTGTGATTTATTTTGTAGTGGATTGGCAATCTCAGCAGTCCTTCTGCTGGTCTATCCTGGGATCACACGTGTAACGGTGGAAACCCAGTCTCCCCAGTGAAGCTGAAAGATGCTTTACTGTTTAATATAAAAGCAGCTGGCCAGCCAGGTTTGGTGGCTCATGCCTGTAATCCCAGCACTTTGGGAGGCTGAGGTGTGCAGATTACTTGAGCCCAGGAGTTTGAGACCAGCCTGGGAAATACGGAAAAACCCTGTCTCTACAAAAAATTAGCCAGGCATGGTGGCACACACTTGTGGTCCCAGGTCCTAGGGAGGCTGAGGTGGGAGGATTGCTCAAGCCTGGGAGGCTGAGGTTGCAGTGAGCCAAGATTGTACCACTACACTCCAGCCTGGGAAACAGAATAAGACCCCCACCCTCAAAAAAAAAAAAAAAAAAAGAAAGCAGATGGCCTCACTGAAGTATCTGGCAATTGATACCGGCTACTGGCTTGGCCTCAGTTCTCCCTATGGCCACACATTCTCCAGAAGGTCAGATGGGCCTTCTTCACAGCATGGTAGCCTGAATGTTTCAAGAAACTGAGAACAGAGTTTGCAATCCTCTAAGTCCTAGGCTGTACAGCTCGCACAATTTCCACCACACTCTATAGGTTAGGACCAACTACAAGACCAGCCAAGATTCAAGGGGCTGAAGATAAGGATATCATTTGTTAATGGGAGGAACAGTGGTGTTATATTGCAAAAGA
Source organism: Homo sapiens (assembly GCF_000001405.40). Taxonomy (NCBI): domain Eukaryota; kingdom Metazoa; phylum Chordata; class Mammalia; order Primates; family Hominidae; genus Homo; species Homo sapiens. The sequence goes on from NC_000018.10 coordinate 53,899,083, forward strand.
GTATAAAAACAGGCTTGACTTACCATTATTGCAATAATCTTCCACAGTCAGGTTAAGGATGAAAAAGGAAGAAGAGTAGGAAAGGGGTCCAGGAAGAGAAGCCAGACATGAAAGTTCCCAAGGAGACTGAAATCACAACATGTCCAATGAAGAGGATAAAGTTCAATGGGGATTGAGCCTAGAACTGATGAGAGAAGAGAGAATCAGAAAAAAAATTATAAAGGTAGCTATTTAACAAAAGAGACAAGGAGGATAAAAAGATGATCGCTTGTGCAAAAGAAATATATTTTTAATGGCAGAGAAAGAGTTGGTTTTCAGGAGAATAAAAAAAATTTGAAATTTAGAAGAAATCTAGAAAAGGGGTGGGGCATAGCAGCCAAGAACTTGGTCATTGTGCCACACAGAGCTGAAGGATCAAGATCAGGTTAACACTGCAGAAAAAAGATCCTTAGACTTAACTGCTAGATGGCCACTTCAATAACCTGACCTATTTCCAGGCTTAGATATCAGGAGAAGAAATATATATGGTACAATTACATTTTTATCTATTTTTGCTTTCTTATATTTTGAATTTTTCCTACCTTTGCACAATCACCCACTGATATGGTTTGGCTCTGTGTCCCCACCCAAATCTCATCTCGAATTGTAATAATCCCCACGTGTTGGAGGAGGGGCATGGTGGGAGATGACTGAATCATGGGGGTGGATTCCTCCTTTGCTGTTCTTGTGATAGTGAGTGAGTGCTCATGAGAGCTGATGGTTTCAAAGTGTGGCACTTCCCCCTTCAATCTCTCTTTCCTGCTGCCTTGTGAAGAAAATGCCTGCTTCCCTTTTGCCTCCCATCATGACTAAGTTTCCTGAGGCCTTCCCAGCCATGGGGAACTATGAATCAATTAAACCTTTTTCCTCCATAAATTACCCTGTCTCAGGTAGTTCTTTATAGCAGTGTGAAAACAGACTAATACACCCATGATATCACTAATTACTATTTAAAAAGAAAGTACAGATATGTGTGTATATATTTTTAATCATAAAAATTCTATAAAAGTTCTATATTTTTATACCTATATCCTTGTAACTTAATCAGTGCTTAGTCTTAGTGTCTAGAAGTAGACTGGCTCTATCAGATAGTAGATAAGACTTATTTCTAGAAAAGTGTGGCCAGTATATACTCTTCCAAGTAGTACATGAACACCTATTTTTTCCTACTCTTCAACCTTAAGCCTTAAAAATAAGTTTTGGTTAACTTTACAGGCCAAAACCCAGTATCACATTGTTTTAATAACTCTATGTTTTCATCCTAGTGAAGTTAAATTTTTTCAAAATGTTTATTGGCCACTTGCTTTTCTTGGAAAAAAAATTGCTGTTCATGCCTTTTGCCCATTTTAAAATTAAAATATTATTCACATAAAGAAACATTTTATTTATTAGCTGTATGTCATAGGGGTCATGTAGTTGTTGAGAACAGAAACCTCTTTAATCTATTTCAGGAATCAGGGAATTTATCGCTAGGAAAAGGGGAACCCAATGGAACCCAAAACTAGAAGGTGGAACATGTCCTCCCAAGACCTAGAAAGTTGGCAAGCAGGTATTTCTGCTCACTCTGAGGCCATTGGCCTCTTCTGTTTCTCCTTTCATATCTGTTCCTTTCTTCTTTCCATAGACTAGTTCGCTTGATAAGACTGTTTGTATATTCATGAGATTTTATGTCCACAAGGCTTGGGGTTTCTATGAAGCCAACTCTGAGCCTCATTCTAAAAGGAATTGAAGTGTGAATGTTCTTGGAGGTGCTATAGCCAGCTACATATCTATGTTTCCATGTTCCAATGTGTGAGGTTGAGAGCTTGACTCCTGGATCGTCCTGCTTGGAACTACGTTCACATCCCTTGTCCAATCAGACATAACTATAGAGTTCTGAAGTGGGGTGCCAAGAGTAGGGGTATGGTAGAAGTTCAGATGCCCCCTGCCTATTTAATTCATTTTCAAAGAAGGAAATGTGGACAGCCACACAAATCAACTAATAAATATCCTACACACCCCTATGGTTCTCATGTATGTTGCAAATATTTTTCTTAGTTCATTTCAATAGGAAGTTTTAAATTTTGATGTGATCATGCCTATTAGGTTTTTTTTAGCTGATCAAAATAATTCACTATTTTCACGTTTAGTTATATCATTTTTTTTGAAAAATCTATTACACTTATTTAAAATGGCAATTTTTATATGTAAATATTTGTATATATTTGTCTTTATTCCATTTATTGGCATGACTCTTCTATATCAAGCCATGCAAGTATTCCCATGTTATCATTCTTTGTAAATATTTTCTTAACCATTCTAAACCATTTTTGTCCAGATGAATTTCACAACTGGCCACTATAAGCAAGATAATTGTTTCATTTGGAAGTGACAATAGTTCCAACACTGAAGAAAGGTCTGACCATGTTGAATATATTGAAAGTCACCCTATATATTCATCTCAAACTTGCTTTCTTCCTAAGATACTGTAAAAGTATCTCATATGTATTACATATATTCAAAAGAGTAATATTTAATTACATATATTCAAAAGTAATTTTGAAAATAATTTTCTTCCCATGCATCAAAGCCCACATAAGCTGTGTGGTTCCACTATTTAGACAGTATATATCTTTAAACTCTAGAATCACAGTCAGTAGGGAGGATGTTCTTGCTTTAGTAGGAATGCAGTAAATGAAACTGGAAAAACAGTGAGTTCTGTTTCCCAATCCATACACTTAGCACTGGATGAAATAGATAATATTTCAATTGTTATTCTCTCTCTCTCTTCATTGAGCATATGCAACTGAATTCATGGTTTGTTTGTTTTTTGAGATGGAGTCTCACTCTGTCGCCCAGCCTGGAGGGCAGTGGTACAATCTCGGCTCACTGCAACCTCTGCCACCCAGGTTCAAGCGATTCTCCTGCCTTAGCCTCCCAAGTATCTGGGATTACAGATGCCTGCCACCATGCCCAGCTAATTTTTCTGTAGTTTTTAGTAGAGACAGGGTTTCACCATCTTGGCCAGGCTGGTCTTGAACTCCTGACCCATGATCCACCTGCCTCAGCCTCCCAAAGTGCTGGGATTACAGGCATGAGCCACCGCGCCTGGCCAAATTCATGCAATTTAAATACTTGTTTGATAGGATTCCCCTGTACTGGTTATTTTTTTTAATCTAGTCTTACTATACTTGCTACAACTTTCAGCATAATATTAAAGAACAGGCCTCTAATGGACATCCTTATAATATCTGCAGAGACAGTTTTGATATGAATGTAATTATTTGTACATTTTCAAAGTGAATTGAAGAAGAGTTATATTATTTAACCTGGAAAGCCAGGATAAATTCAGGTCTTGATGCATCATAAATGTATGATCTTTGGAAAGTTCTTTAATCACTCTGGGCTCTGGATATTAGCCTTCACAGTTCTCTCCACCTGGGATGCCCTTCCCACCTGTCCTCCGCTAGCTCACCCAAACTCATCACTGAAAATTCAAGAGTCCTGTCTGCCAAGAAGTCACCTTGGCCCCAACCATATTAAGAGCTCCTCCTCTGTGCTCCACCAGCTTTCGAAGGGTAGTGACCTTGGCTTGTTATTCTTTGTACCCACAACCTGTCATATAACAGCGCTCTTTAAATGTCATTTACTAATTTATTCATTAAATAAGGGAATTGTCTTTTATAACCTTTAAAGTCCCTTATTGTTCTCAAAGCCCAAATTATAATATCATAGAGATAATTTAGGTGTTAGAAATAGGTAGTAAAAACATGATGGTTTGTTCTTTAAATATTCAGATAACTTCCCCAGTTTATCACATAATCTTCTATTTAGAGATACCCTGTAACCATATGACATGAGAGAAAGAACATTAACCTGATCAAAAGGCAAATGATCTTGTCCAAATCCCACTATTTCTCAGCTGTATGAAATTGTACAAATCACTTAACTCACCCTGATCCTCCATTTCTGCATCTTTCAAGTAAGTATGATGATTTCTGCTCTGCCTGTCTTGTAAACTTGCTGTAAAGAACTGAGAAAATATAGTGAAAGAAACTTCACCCTGCACTCTTCAAATATAATGCAGAATTAAGACTCAATTAAAATGTAACATCAATTATGTCTGATTCCCATAAATATGCTACTGCATTGAGAAAAATAATATCATTTATTTTCATATTACAGCTACTTATTATAAATATTTAGTAGAAAGCAGAAAGTCACCCTGCTCATGCTAAATAATCTCAACTTCAACAGAGTTTTGTCAGTCACTTCTAATAAGACCTCAGCCAAGGAGCTGCCTTTTTAATCACTTTGAAAGAGAAAGCGATCAGAATGTCTTTCCCACGTTTATCCCACAGTAACATTTTACCCCCAGAATACATGGTATTGGTCTTTGATGAATCACTTCTTTTTTAAACCTAGAAAATATGATTGTCTTAGTTCTTAGTTACACATCTGAATAGAAAGTCCCCCCCAAAAAAATTCCCCAATCTGTTTCTTTGCCTTTGCTTAAGACAGCTAGATTGTTTAAGATAAACATGTGTCCTGTTTGTTGAGACAAATTATTCCTCTGTCACCCAGCCAAGAGTGCAGTGGAGTGATCATAGCTCACTACAGCCTTGAACTCCTGGGCACAAACCATCCTCCTGCCTCAGCCTCCTAGGTAGCTGGGACTACAGGTGCATGGCCACCAGCCCTGGGTAATCTTTTTATATTTTGTAGAGATGGGGTCTCACTATACTGCCCAGGCTGGTCTTAAACTTCTGAGCTCAAGTGATCCTCCTGTCTCAGCCTCCCCAAGTGCTGGGATTATAGACGTGAGCCACTGCACCCAGCCTCATGTGTCCAGTTTATTGAGCAGATGGTTTTAGTAGGGCACAAAAAAAAAATCACTCTTCTTTTTTTACCACTGCTTTTTCAAGTAAGTACACCAGATCTTTCTCAACCACTGAAGAAGGTCTGTCAAGTCAATGCAGTGGCTTCTCCTGTCACTTTTGGGATTTGGAGCAGTATCCTTTCAGGTGTTAAAAAGAACAGTGGGATTTCAATCAAAATACTCATCTCACATCTTAACAGCCTCCCCTTACACATGGCTCAGAGCTGGGAAGCCTGCAGCAGTACAGGGACTGGTTCCTTTCTCTCCCTGTTCAGTCTCACTCTCTGCTGCTTCTGGCTTCCTACTCTGGGGATTGCTATGTAACAAATCACTCCAAATTTAAATGTTTATCATAACAGTCACTTATTTTGCTTATTAATTTCTTCTATGTGGAACCATTCAGGGCAACCCCAAATGGGATGATTCTAAAGATTGGGGGCTGGGATCAACTAGAGGCTTCTCTCTCAGATGTCTGGCCCATGCTTCCACGTTCCTCTAGAGTTGGGAAAGAAGGAGACAAGAACTATCTTGACTATAATCTTGTCTTGATGACCTCATTGTGACTGGTGCCTAGATGTAAATTCTTTGGCTTATGGGCTCTCAGAGTCCCTTTCCATTAGGGACCCCTGTGGTCCCTCTTCCTGAGCCAAATGATGTCCTCTTAAGCTGCTTCCCCGTGGCGTCCCCTCAGCCCTCGTGTCCAATGGTACAGCACTCACAGCCTTTTCTGCTGGGGTTACCAGGTCCCCCCGAGGAAGGCACACCTCTTGGGCAGGTTATTTGTGAATGTCCTTCCAAATCTAGTCTATTCTTGCCCAGAGGGGAGCTCAATACTCTTGTTCTGCCAAACTCTGGAAACAGACTACTCTCTCGGAGTACCCTCTTATATTGTCAGCAGGAACAGATCCGGCCAGCCCTTCACCATGACGTCTTTTAAATGTGAGGGTCAGACACCGATCCTCATACCCCGCACTTATCCCCAAAACTCCAGAAGATGCCTCTTACATTTTTCTGAAGGACTCAGCACACCTTGCTCTGGACCCATGGTGGCACTAGACCCCTGGGTTTCCGCAGCTCAGCAACATGCAGTCCGAAAGGAAGCTAGTCAGGGAGATGTTAGTCTCCCCTTTCCCCACACAGAAACACCCCGTGGGTGGGTCTCTGGAAGACCTCTCTCTTGCTCTGAGGCCAGGGAAGCAGAAACAGCACTGTCACGATGCTTTTCAGAGGAATCTTCACTCTGCCTCTCAATCGCTCCTTGGTATTCGATATGTCCTGGAGGCGGATGATGGCTTGTGGCCACCTCCCATATGCTGCCCCTCTTTTCAGAACGTGGTAAAGCTTGTTACTATCATTCTTACTTTTGGGGCTCCAGTGCTCAGAAGCCCTGCAACTGTAAAAATGGTACATTTAACATCCATTCCATGGGCATCAAAAATTACAATTATGATGCAACCACTGTGATCAGCATGAAGGACTCATGAGATAATAATCACGAACCTTTTTTTTCTCCTGTGGTCCCATTAAAAGTGTCCTATGGGGTCCCAGTCTCACCCTGGCCCTGTGGTAAAAATTCAAGCAGTCTCATGACATTTCTGTTTTTCGTCAGAAATGGAAGATCCTCAAGTCTGTAATCAATCAACCTATCACAGGGAAGCAGTCACTACTACTCAGAATTGCCCCCCTCTCCCAGCTCAAATGTGCTGCTTTAGGATGGGTTGGAGGGGGAGGGGATTGGGGATTGGCTGCTTCCATTTTTCTTTGTACTTCTGCCTCACTTTTCTTTCTAATTCAGTTTCTGACCCCTCCAGATCGAAAGGGCAGGAACATGGCAGTAAATTTCTTCCTCGAAAAAAACACCATCTAGAGCTAGCATTGTGATCCACTGGCCTGGCCAATGTTGAAATCCGACCTTCTCTGATTGGTAGAGTTGCCAGATAAAATGCAAAACAACCAGTTAAATTTGAACTTCAGAAAAACAACAAATAACATTTTCATATAACTAAGAAGTATTTGTTATTAATCTGAAACTCAAATTTTACTGAGTATCCTTGATTTTTATTTGCTAAACTTGTTGACCCTACAGTGGTAGAGTCCTCATGGGGAATCTTCAGAGGTGCTTCTCACACCCCCGCTGCTGGAGTTCTAATACCCAAAGTTCCCTTGGGGATGGGGGTTGCATCTGTATTCCAGCTCGTTCCTGACTCTACCCAGACCTTCCAAATCTGTTCTGCTGTTGTCTGCTCACCTCAACAGGAGGCTCTGTACACTAGGGACCACATCTAGCCCAGCAAAGCCCATGAGCAGGAGGTCCACTCCCAAGGCAGCGAGCTCTCCTTGTGCTCCTGCCATAGCCGTCAACCCTTTTAGAAACTCAAGTGTAGATCAGACTTGAGTCCACCATTTTGCCCAGGGCCAATGGACACAAATTTCTCCAAGCAGTCTCTTAGGAAGCTCATTTTCCTGGCCCATTTCATATCCTGATATCATCACTTGAAAACACACAACTAGCACCTACCACATACACCCCCCAAACATACCCACAGCCCTGGCTCGGGAGAATAGAAATGACAGGAAACCAGGTTAACTAAAATAATCCATTAAAAACACATACATACACACTTGTAAATATTCAAACTTAAATACTTTTTGTTTCCAAAGCTATGTTTTACTTCAAGGAGTTATGCAGAAACACAGAATGGAAGAATTGGCAAGTCAGGTTTTTATTCAAATTTATTTAATGAGTTAAAAAAATCTCCAAATGTAAATTAGTAGGGAGATGTCTGATTAAACTGGACTAGTGACAGCACATGGCTGGCATGCGGGTCCACCCTGCCTGCTTAGATGCATTTTTTTGGCAGGAGCCTTGGGAAAGGTTGGAACTTTGACAGGATAGAATCTGTGCACTTCAGAATGCCTGCATATCTTTTCTGTGCGGTCACACTTTTGTAACTATGGAGAAGTAGGCTGTGAGATATCACTATCTTTAATTCCAGCCTACATGCTTCAGAAAAAGCAACCCTATACAAAAAACTGAAAAGCATTTTCACAAAACTGGAATCTAATAAGAAAAAGAAAATCCAAAACATTATTTTTGCTTCAAGCTTATATAGGGTGCAATGCAAAAGGTCAGTGTTTTCTTTTTTTCCATTTTAATGATGATGTCCAGAGATGGTTTAAAATAATAGAAATGCTTACAGGGATCCTTGTGCTTGTTGCGAAGAGACTGAAACTTCATCATATTGGGCTGTAGGATATTATTTTAAGCACATGAGTTGGCCTATCCAATCCCAAGGCATAGTGGCATGAACAGGAGTTCCTCATTCATTCTCTATTTAACACCCTGGTTCCCACATCTGCCTTTAATGGCAGTCTCTAACCTTCATACCCTTTCTAAGCACCCAGGTCTCAGAACCCCAGGAACTATTAGCCTCCTTCACTGCACCTTCTCCACTCAATCAAAACCTACACATTCAACGTTCCATTGCAGGAGGGCACTATATGTGACAACAAAGCCTCACTGTTAATAAACTACTCAGCCAAGCTGTATGAGCAACCACATCCTCTTCTTTTATCAAATACTTCTTGTCCCAGGTAGCATTTTTATTTTACTAACTCCCTCAAGCCTTTAATATCATTGAATCATTGGGGCAAAGTGATTTACTGTTACTGCTTAAGTGATTCAACATTCCTGATCATTACCTCTGTCCTCATTCGTGGACAAATGTTTTGGGTCACATCTTGGGGAATCACACTGATGGAACAATATTTTCTCACATTTACCAATTTGCTAATTAAAAAGCAAAAAACAATGTAGTTTCATCAAACTTCTTTTTCTCTTGAGGAAGTAGTTGTAGCTAAATGAATAAAATAGTTTTCAAATTAAACATGAACCTAGTCTTCGAGAAACAAGCTGGATTATAGGAATAAATATGACATGGTATGGGAAATGGGAGGTGACTCACAGCTGCCACAATTCCATCATCAACATTGTCAGGTGCTTGTCCCTGAACAGGACATTCTAGTCCACCTAATTTAGGTTCAGGGCAGGCTCAGCCCCCAGAAATGATTTTGTTCTCCCTTCATCAGAAATAGCCTTGCCTGCTGAACAGATGGGAGAGACCATAACTGTGATATCAAGGCATATGGTTTTGAGAACAGATAGGAGTAGTAATTGCAAATATTAGTACACTGTCTTTCAGGTTTTCATGAAAATGATACACATTCATGTCAATGGGCAAAAATAACAGATAATATTTTCAATCATCTCAAAACCTACTTGGATAAAATCAACTGATTATAAATTAGTTAGCTTGCATTCCTAAAGTAAACTATGCCATCTGCACCACTAATTTGATAATAGGATAAAAGAAATAGGTTGGTCTTCATGGAAACCAGATTCTTCATTCATTTGTTCATTCATTCATTGAACAAATGCATGTTAAGCAGTGAGTATATGTCAAGCACTATGCTGGATTTGTGAGATAAAACAGTAAGCAAGTTGTTGTCTGGTCTGAAGGAGCTAATAATCTAATGAAAGAATACATATAAATAACCTGGGAATTACAATGAAGTGGGATAAGCACCAAGACAGACGAGACCATGGGAACCCCTAGCAGGGGCACCCATTCCTATCCAAGATGAGTTGCCTGAGACAGTTATCAAGGAGTGATATCAAAGCTGAAATCTGAATTAATGTATAGTATTAGCCAGACAAAGAACAAGCAGCTGAGAGGCAGTATAGTGGAGAACAGTTTATATATGTCAAAGACATAGAAGAGATAGAGACAGAGACACAGATAAATAGAGAAAAGAGATTCTGAGTAGTATGATGTATTAGCAAGGGTCTCCCAGAGAAACAGAACCAATAGGATGTATAAATATGAGAGAGATTTATCGAAAGGAATTAGCTCATACAATTATGGAGGCTGAAATGATCCAAGATCTACAATCAGCAAGCTGGACACCCAGAAGAGCCAATGGTACAGTTCCAGTCTGAGTATGAAAGCCTGAGAACCAAAAGAGCTGATAGTGCAAGTTCCAGTCTGAAAGATAACAGGCTTGGGACACAGGAAGAGCTAATTTTTCAGTTTGAGTCCAAAGACAGGAAATCACCAATATCTCAGCTTAAGGTAGTCAGGCAGGCAGAGTTCCCACTTAGCCTTATTGAGGTATCCAATTGACTGGATGAAGCCCACACACATGAGGGAAGGCAATCTGCTTTGCCCAGTCTACTGAGATTCAGTTGTTAATCTCATCCAGAAACAGCCCCATATACATACCTAGAATAATGTTTGACAAAATGTCTGGGCACCCCGTGGCCCAGTCAAGTTGACACATTAAATTTACCATTGCATATAAATTATTTGCATTCTTATTCTATAATTTGTCACAACCATCAGATACATTACAGTTATGATGTTGATATATGTTGATGCAACTATTTTTTTCTCCATCCATTATCTGGAAAGAAGAGGGAAAAATGATGTTTAAGTAACGAAATGTCCTAATTTGCTTAAAATTCTGATTATGGGCTTCTAATTGTTACAGAATCATGGCTATGTTATTTGTCAGCATTTAAAAGATTTCAGTACCCTGTGGTGCTTCTGCTCTTCATTTTGAACAGTTAAGAACAATGTATCAGGTAAAAACAGGGCATTCTGTGCAGTCAGAGGATAAGGAATCAAGATTTGGATGTTCCAAATCTTGAACCTTATCTTAATAGATAAGAACCAATCTTAGTAGTGTTAGTAGTATCTTAGAACCAAATCTTAGTAGTGTTCCCAACTAGCGTCTTGCATCTCTTCAAATCAGAGGATGTTACTGGGAACTTGTTTCAATGCCCCCCCGGGGTTTCCCAGGATAAGATCTGAGGTAGGTAGTTGTCCCACCCAGATCAGATAGATGACCCCTAGGTGGCAGTATTGGCCACTTACATATTCCTACCAATCAGAATATCAGCTTTTTGTCCAGCCAAAATGCGTTTGAAATCACACACGATGTAATTTACAAAATAAAGTTTCACAAATAATTATTTATGGTAATATATTGACTTTAAAATAGACTACCAGAATAGAACCTTGGTTAAAACAGAATGGGGTAAACTCTATACTTGTTATCCAAAAATCTATTAGAACTCAGCATTACTTTCATGTCCTGGTTTAGATTGAGAGGAATGCGTTAGAACAGATCACCCTGAATTACATTCTATAAATCTATTTGAGTCACAAAACTTAAAATAGATATTACATATACATATATATTTTTATATGCATATACATGTATCTATAAACATAAAATTCATAGGCTATATATAAATTTAGTGTCTAAATTATATAACTAAAGTGTTTCATATCCTAAAGTTTTGTGTTTGTTTTGATCCTGCAGAGCATTGAAAATTGTTGCTTTCCCAAAAAAAAACCTTCAGAGAGCAACTGTGCACACACCAGCAGCCAAGCTGTTTATTAGGCTAAGAGTGAATTCAGGAGAACTTTTTAAAAGATAATCAATGAAAGGTGAAGATAATACGAAGGTAGAAAGTGTGTAACCCTACTAAGACTCTGCAAACACCCTAGACAAGACCCTTGGAGAAGAACATTTCTATGTACTTATACTTATCACAGATGCCTTGCACATTCTTCACTGATACTCTCCTATGAGGTGCCACACAAAAGGGCTGTAGCAGGTTTGTCACAACTTGAAATTCTCTTGCTTTTATCCTGAGGGGATTGTGAAGCTCACGTGGTTTGGGTAAAGAACCTACAATCAAAATCTTTTTCTAAGTGTCTGTGGCTGAATAAAAAGTAATAATATATTTTTAAATGAGCATTTAAAGCAAAGCCAATTGCTAAGATTATGGCTGAAAATGGATGTTATCTACTATGTTTATATTAATTTATTTCTATAGAGCATTTCTATAGGGGGTTTCTGAGTTACTAAAGATAGTACAGAAATAAAAAAAGGAACTTAATGAAACCAAAATTTAGCACCCTAGAAACAAGATAAAATGTTCTGTGCCATCTGTAAGAAGGCTGTTCAATACTTTTACTCTTTACTACATCAAAGGCACAGCAGCATTTGTTTCCTCCCCCTTTGGGAGGGACAACAGTCAACAAAAAAACTGGTAATAAAATCAGGATAACAGCAAAATTATATATACACATATATAGTTTAGAAAAAGGAAAGGAACACAGGCATTTATGAATCTAAGTTTGAGAAAACCTGCTAAAGTTCAAAGATGAATCAGTTAAATTGTTTTAGGTTCTAAATAGTTTTCATGGAAATGAGCACAAAGGGGAGAGCAGGGCTAAGGACTAACAATACAGTCAATGAGGGAGGCAGGTTTTGTTCTATCATTTTTCTGTTGCTCTTCCTGTAGGAGGAAGAATGGCTCCTTCAGCACGAGTGCCAGAATGAGCAGGCCTGCATAGCAGGGCCAGAGCTCACCCACACACAAGGAAAGCTGGAAATAAAACTTTGTCTGTAAGACACTGAGATTTAGAGATAGTTGGCTATGCAGTAGAGTCAAGAGAAAGCTGGCTGATGAAACCCTAATTGGAAAACACAATCATGGGCTTGATAGTACGAGGAGGTCTAGAAGGAATGTATCCAGTGTAGATTTTCCCATAACCTTTATTCTAACTTAAATAAAAGGATAAGGCTACAATAAAAGGTGCTATTTAGAAATCAGGTTGAAATGTGAAAAGTCGAGATTTTTGGAAACACAATTCAAACTATGAAGCAATATAGATGCATTTTTTCTAATATGGCAAATAGAATACATATTATATATTATTTATATATATTTATAAAATATAAATATGTATATATAAAATATAAATATATATATATATATATTTTTTTTTTTTGAGATGGAGTCTCGCTTTCTCGCCCAGGCTGGAGTGCAGTGGCATGATCTTGGCTCACTGCAAGCTCCACCTCCCGGGTTCACGCCATTCTCCTGCCTCAGGTTTCCGAGTAGCTGGGACTATAGGCACCCGCACCACGCCCAGCTAATTTTTTGTATTTTTTAGTAGAGACAGGGTTTCACCATGTTAGCCAGGATGGTCTTGATCTGCTGACCTCGTGATCCACCCGCCTCGGCCTCCCAAAGTGCTGGGATTACAGGCATGAGCCACCGCGCCCGGCCAGAAAGAAATATTTTACCTGTTACCCTAAACTCTGGAGCCATTGGCACAGCACAAAGGAGTTTAGATTGGCAAGAAATACTCTAGTCCAGACCCAAGAGTGGCTATGAATAGTGCCTCAGTCTATTTCTGATAGAGAGGTATTAAAGTAGCCAAGTATAATAGTGGATTCATTTTCTTTCTTCTTACAATTCTATCAGTTTTTGCCCAGTGTATTTTGACACTCTGTTGTCAGGTACACACACATTAAGGATTGTTGTGTCTTTCTCGGAGTATTGACCCTTTTGTGATTATGTAATACCCTTTTTTCTTTCTGATAACATTTTTTGCTTTGAAGTCTGCTCTATCTGAAATTAATATAGTACACTCCTGCTTTCTTTGATTAGTATTAGGTTGGTATATCTTTCTCTATCCCTTTACTTTTAATCTATACGTGTTTTTAAATATAAAGTGGATTTCTTGTAGAGAACATATAGTTGGGTCTTGTTTTTTGATCCACTGACAACCTCTTTTAATTGTGTATTTAGATTATTGACATTGAAAATGATTATTGATATAGTTGGAATAATATCTACCGTATTTTTTATGGTATTCTATTCCTTGTTCTTCATTTCTACTTTTGTCTTCTATACTTTTTCTGCTTTCTGCAGTTTTGAGTATTTTATGTTTTAATTTTCTGTCCTTTCTTGGCATATCAATACTTTTTACTCTTCTAGTGGTTGCCCTAAAGTTTGTAATATACAGATGATATGCATTTGACTTAGTTTTTCAATTTTACAATAGTAAATACATATATTCAGTATGTACTGAAATTGTATAACTTCATTAATTACATGAGCTATTCAGCATTTTATTATAAATTAGGCTTTGTGTTAATTTTGCCCAACTACAGGCTAATGTAAGCGTTCTGAGGATATTTAAGGTAGACTAGGCTAAGCTATGATGTTCAGTAGGCTAGGTGTATTAAATGGATTTTTTACTTATGAAATTTTCCATTTATGATCGGTTTACTGAGACATGACCCCATCATAAGTCAAGGAGCATCTTTACACTTACAGCTAATCTAAATCTACTTTCAGTAACAAAATGCTGCTTCATAGATACTGCAAGTACCTTATAATAACAAAATATTTCTAATTCCTCGTTCCTGTCCCCTGTATCACTGTCATTTGCTTCACTCGTACATAAGCCTATGTGTACACAAGCATTCATAATTGAATACATTGTTGCTATTCTGAACAGTTATCTGTTAAAGTTTTTATTTTGCTTTCACTTATTCTCAATGCTCTTCAGTTTTTTAATTTTTAATTTTGTTAATTGAAAGATCAAATTGTATATATTTCTCATGTACAACATGACGTTTGGAAGTATATATACATTGTGAAATAAGTACATCTATCTAATTAACATGTGCATGACCTCACAGTTTTTTTTTGTAGTGAGAACAATGTACATTCACCCCTTAGCGTTTTTCCAAGAATACATTGTTAACTGTGTTGTATCACCAGCAGATCCCTTGAACTTATTTCTAACTGAAATTTTGCATCGCTTGACCAACATCTCCCCAACTTCATCCCCCGACATCACCCTCCAATCACCTCCTAGCCTCTGGTAAACATCATGCTACTGTCTACTTCTATGAGATCGACTATTTCAGCTTGCACATATAAGTGATATCATGCAGTATTTGCCTTTCTGTCCCTGGCTTATGTCACTTTAACAAAATGTTGTCTAGGTTCGCCTATGTTGTCATGGATAGGATCTGTTTATATGGCTGGGTAATATCCCATTGTGTATCTGTACCACATCTTTACCCATTCATCCATTGATGGACACTTTTATTGATTTCATGTCTTGGCTATTGTGAGTAATTCTGCAATAAACATGGGAAGTGCAGTTATCTCTACAAAATACTGACTTCAGTCAGGCATAGTGGCTTTTACCTGTGATCCCAGCACTTTGGGAGGCTGAGGTGGGAGGACTGTTTGAGCTCAGGAGCTCAAGACCAGCTTGGGCAACATAGAAAGAGCTTGCCTTTACTAAAATTCAAAAAAATTAGCCAGGCATGGTGGCGCACACCTGTAGTCCCAGCTACTTGGGGTACTGAGATAGGAGAATCACTTGAGCCCAGGAAGTTGAGCCTGCAGTGAGCCCTGATCATGCCACTGCACTCCAGCCTGGGCAACAGAGAACCTGTCTCAAAAAAATAAAATACTGATTTTGTTTTCTTTGAATATGTATTCACTAGTAGGATTGCTGTGTCATATGACAGTTCTAGTTTTAGTTTTAGAGGGAACCATCATACTGTTTTCCATAATGGCTATACTAATTTACATTCTCACCAGAAGTGTGTGTGCGTTCCTTTTTTCTACATCCTCACCAACACTTGTCTTTTGGGGTTTTTTGTTTTGTTGTTGTTTTGGATTAGAGATATCCCAATAGGTATCAGGTGAAATCTCACTGTGGTTTTAATTTGCATTTCCCTGATGATTAGTGGTGTTGAGCTTTTGCTGTGCAGATTTGTAGTTTGATATAATCCCATTTGTCTATTTTAGCTTTTGTAGTCTGTGTTTTTGGGGGCATATTCAAAAAATCATTGCCTAGACCAATGTCATAAAGGTTTTTCCCCATATTTTCTTTTAGTAGTTGCATAGTTTCAGGTCTTGCACTTAAGTCTTTAATCCATTTAGAGTTGATGTTTGCATGCGATAAGAATCTAATTTCAATCTTTTGCATGTGACTATCCAGTTTTCCTAACATCATATATCAAAGAGGCTGTCTTTTCTCCATTGTGTGTTCTTGGCATCTTTGTCAAAAAATCAGTTGGGTATAAGCGTGTGGAATAATTTCTGGGCTCTCTATTCTGTTCCATTGATCTGCATGTCTATTTTTATGCCGGTGCCATGTTGTTTTTGTTGTGATAGCTTTATAGTATATCATGAAATCAGATACTGTGATGCCTCCAGCTTTGTTCTTATCATTCAAAATTGCTTTGGCTATTCAGGGTCTTTTGTGGTTCCATACAAATTTTAGCATTGTTTTTCCTATTTCTGTAATGAATGTCACTGGTATCTTGATAAGGATTACATTCAATCGATAGATCACTTTGGGTATGGACATTTTTGCAACATTAATTCTTCCATTATCATTAACACGAGATATCTTTCCATTTATTTGTGTCTTCAATTTCTTTTATCAGTGTTTTATACTTTTCATTGTACAAATCTTTCACCTCTTTGGTTAAATGGATTTCTAAGTATTTTTGTATTCTATTGTACATTTGATGATTTTCGTGATTTCTTTTTTAGATAGTTCACTGTTAATGTATAAAACCCTATTGATTTTTATATGTTGATTTTGTATCCTGCAAGTTTACTGAATTTATTTAGGTTCTAACAGTTTTTGGTAGAGTCTTTGGGGTTTTTTTGTGTATAAGATCATGTCCTCTACAAACAAGGAAAATATAACTTCTTCCTTTCCAATATGGATATATTTTATTTATTTCTCTTAACTAATTACTCTGGCTAGGACTTCCAATACTACGTTGAATAGAAGTGGCATGTTAGCTGTGGGCTTATCACATGTGGCTTTTATTATGTTGAAGACCATTTCTTCTATACATACCCAACTTGTTGAGAGTTTATCATGAAAGGATATTGAATTTTGTCTCACTGTTTTTCTGCAACCACTGAAATGATAAGTTTCTTGTGCATCATTCTGTTATTGATTTTGTTGAACAATCTTTGCATCCCTGAGATAAATCCCACTTGATCACAGCAAATGAGCTTTTTAATATGCCATTAAATTTGGTTTGCTAGTATTTTGTTGAAGATTTTTGTATTTATGTTCATCAGAGATATTTGCCTGTAGTCTTTTTTGTTTTATCATGTCCTTGTCTATCTTTGGTATCAAGGCAATGCTGTCCTAGTAAGAAGAGTTTGGAAGTTTGGAATAGTTCAACTAGAATTGTTCGAGTAGAATTATTATCAGTTATTTAAATGTTTGGTAGAATTCCACAGTAAAACCATCAGGTCCTGGGCTTTTCTTTGATGGGAGATTTTTGTTACTGATTCAATCTTCTTACTCATTATTGGTCTGTTCAGATTGTCTGTTTCTTCATGATTCAATCTTAAAGTATGCCAGAGAATTAATACATTGCTTCTAAGTTATCCAATTTGTCAGTGTATAATTGTTCTTAATAGTTTAAGATCCATTGATACTCTTCCTTACTTTATGTAGATCTAAGTGTCTGACCTTTATCATTTTCTTCTGTCTGAAGAATTTGTCAGCTTTTTTTTTTTTTTTTTTTTTTTGAGACGGAGTCTCGCTGTCGCCCAGGCTGGAGTGCAGCGTCACGATCTCGGCTCACTGCAGGCTCCGCTCCCCGGGGTTCTCGCCATTCTCCTGCCTCAGCCTCCTGAGTAGCTGGGACTACAGGTGCCCGCCACCTCGCCTGGCTAATTTTTTGTATTTTCAGTAGAGACAGGGTTTCACCGTGTTAGCCAAGATGGTCTCGATCTCCTGACCTCATGATCCGCCCGCCTCGGCCTCCCAAAGTGCTGGGATTACAGGCATGAGCCACCACGCCCGGCCTCTGTTAGCATTTTTTGCAAAGCATATCTACTGCCAACAAATTTCCTTTGATTTGTGTTTTAGAAAATATTTTTACTTTACTTTTGAAGCCTAACTTTGCAGGGTACAGAATTCTCATTGGTGGGAATCTTTTCTCTCAATTTTTTTTTTTTTTTTTTTTTTTTTTTTTTTTAGAGACAGAGTCTCACTTTGTCAGCCAGGCTGGAGTGCAGTGGCACCATCTCAGCTCACTGCAGCCTTCACCTTCTAGGTTCAAGCAATCCTCTTGCCTCAGCCCCTCAAGTAGCTGGAGACTACAGACACATGCAGCCAAACATGGCTAATTTTTTTTTTTTTTTTTTTTTTAAGTAGCGACGTGGTTTCATCCTGTTGTCCAGGCTGGTCTCGAACTTCTGAGTTCAAGCAATCCACCTGCCTTGGCTTTCCAAAGTGCTGGGGTTACAGACCTGAGCCACCATGCCTGGCCTTCTCTCAACACTTTAAGTACTTCATGCCACTCTCTTCTTGCTTGAATGGTGATATGGTTTGGCTGTGTTCCCACCCAAATCTTCTTGAATCATAGCTCTCATAATTCCCACGTCATGGGAGAGACCCAGTAGGAGGTAACTGAACCATGGGTCTGGGTCTTTTCCATGCTGTTCTTGTGATAGTGAGTAAGTCTCATTTATAAAATAGTTCTATAAAGGAGAGTTCCCCTACACACATTCTCTTGCCTGCCGCCAAGTATGACATGACTTTGATCTTCCTTTGCCTTCCACCATGGTTGTGAGGCCTTCCCAGCCACGTGGAACTGTGAGTCCATTATAACTCCTTTCCTTTATAAATTACCCAGTCTCAGGTATGTCTTTATTAGCAGTGTGAAAACAGACTAATACAAATGGTTTCTGAGGAGAAATCAGATGTAATTCTTATTTTCCTCCTTTAAGGGCAGGGGTTTTTTCCTCTGGCTTCTTTCAAGGTTTTTGATCTTCGATTCTCTATAGTTCGAAGATAAAATGCCTATATGTTTTGTTCTGGCATTCATCCTACTTGGTGTTCTCTGCATCTCCTGGATCTGAAGTTTAGTGTTCGACGCTAATTTGGGGAAATCCTCAGTTGTCATTGCTTCAAATATTGTTTCTCTTCCTTTCCATTACACATGTTACACCATTTCTAGTTGTCCCACAGTTCTTAGACATTCTGTTCCGGGTTTTGTTAGTCTTTTCTCACTCTGCTTTTTAGTGTTTGAAGTTTATTGCCATATCCCTGAGCTCAGTGATTCCTTCCTCAGCTGTGTCCAGTCTAATAATAAGCCAGTCAAAGGCATTCTTCATTTCTGTTACAGTGCTATTGATTTCTAGTATTTCTTTTCCATTCTTAGAATTTTCATTTCTCTGCTTACATTGTCCATCTGTTCTTGCATGTTTTCTACTTCTCAAGAAAGCACTTAGGTTCTTTTTAAAATTCCTGGCCTGATAATTCCAACATTCCTTTCATATCTGACCCTAGTTGATTCTTTTTGAGGCTCTTCAAACTGTGTTTTTGCCTTTAGTATGCCTTATGACTTTTGTTAAAAGATGAACATTATGTACTAGGTAGAAAGAACTGCAGTAAACAGGCTCATGGTAACGTGGTAATGTAGTGGTAAGGTATGAGAAAGAAAGAAGCATTCCATAGTTTTATAATAGTTTTCATTCTTTTCGTGAGTCTGTGAACTTCACTGGAGCTTCTTAGTTTTTTTTTGTTTGTTTGTTTGTTTGTTTTTTGTCCTTAGGTAGGACAGAACAGTTAGAGAGAGCTGCAGGTATTTCTTCTTCAGGTAGGTTAGGCTCATGTAAAATAGCTTCTCCTGAGAAAAGGCTTTGCTAAGAAGAATTGAATGTTCTAGTATTTTTCAAAATGATTCCTTTTTTCTCTCCTCTTGTCAGAAGGAGGAGAGGATTTTTCTCTAATATCCGCTGAGAGAACCTGGTACCTCTAGGGGTAAAACTCATAAAAGTGTGGGGCTCCCCCATGACAGGGTCCCCATGGTTTTTAACGCTGAGTTGTTCGCTTTGAGCATCCAGCAATTCAGATACAGTTGTGATTTCCCTACCTTGTCAAGGGTTCCTGTCATGTTATTTGCTCCGTTGAATTGTGATTCCCTGTATCTTCCTGTCTATCCAATGTTGAAGACAGCAGTTTGTCCTGGGACCTCCTTTCTCTGACAGATCTAAGAAGGGCTGCTGATTTTTCCACTTGTTCAGCTTTTCTCTTATTGTTAGGACGCAGTGGCAATTTCTAAGCTTCTTACCTGCCAGAGTAGAAGCCAGAAGTCTGTTTTGTTATTTTCAGTCTCAGCTTTGACTGATTTAAACCAGGATGGTGGAATAGAAGAGGCTGTCCTGTGCTGGGCAGACTCAAGTGAGCAGCTATCACAAATATCAGCATCCTACCTGGTAGAAAGTGTCCAATTTCTAGAAATTATGTTTTAAATTTTTAAACCTATTTCAGTGGCAACAGATTTTACAGTAAACTTTTCCTAAATTGGTTAATCTTTCTTTTCTCTTTCCAGTCCTTACTTTGTCATTCCTATCTTGTTGGATATCTCCCCTGAGGCATTCTTTTTCCACAGAGACCTGACATCTACTCTGAACAATGAGTTCAGATGTGTAGTTTACCACGAGGCACACAAATACCCGAGTACTGTTGGGCTTCACAAGTATAAGGCCCCTTGTGACTGATGAGACCCGAATTAGATTTACTGTGGTCTTTTTCAATTGCTTGCACTTCTGGATCCAGAATGGTGGCTAAGAACACAAAAACTGGTGTAGCTGGGATTTGAACTCTGTCTTAGTTCAAATTCCAACTATCCCACTTAGAAGCAATTTGAGCAAGTTTTTTTTAACGTTTCTATCTCCGTTAACATATTATATAAAATAGGAATGATAATCTTGTCTGTCGCAGATTTTGTGAAAATTAAGAGTTAATACACATAAAGCTCCTAGGAGAACACCTGGCACACAATTTTAACTCTGATAGGACCTATTCAATAGACCATACCAGAGCCGTGGAACTCTGGTAGACTGGGAAGGAGGTGCAGTAATACCTGAAATATTGATCTTAGCTTTTGAGGTGACCAGCAGGGAATGAGGCCAATCACCTCTGGCCAAATGCAACCTGGTGTGTCATTAAAATAATTTTAAAGTTCTATGTGAGTCAAGATGCGAAAGGGAATTGGGAAGCACTGCATTTTTCTATTTCCCGTAAGGATAGCATACTGTGGAGCATTTCTATTTATTCCAGCAAATGCCTTCTCTGTCTGGCTCTTAAAATGGCATGTAGTTGTTAGGTTCTGCTGGGAGTCAGCTGGGCAGTATATGCGCTGACCCCCATAAGAAGCAGGTGATACACTTTGATGTCTCAGTTGAAAGTTGACTTCCTAGGACCCGTGTGAAATTCAAGTGCTCTGGCTAAGTGCCCTGAACAGGTAGTAGCTGCCTGTAGCTCTCCCCTGAGCCTCAGAGCAACTGTGGCACCACATTACACTGCATATAAATGCACCATGCTGCTTTCATGTTGCGTAGAAATTCCCCCTTCATATTACAGCTTTGTAAATACATATGGAAGCTTTATCAGGGTGAAGTTATTAGAGTAATCTATCTCCCGTTTCTCATAGAAAGATACAAATGTTAAGCTTTCCTCAAGTTTTGGGTTCTTTTAATCACATATATAAACACGTGTGTGTGCACGTGTGTGTATGGGTATGTGTGTACGTGTGTACGTATGTGTATGTGCATGTGTCTGCATGTGTGTGTGCATGCATGTGTGCATGGGTGTGGGTGTGCCTCTGGGTGTGCGCATGTGTGTGAATGTGTGTGCGTGTATGTGTGTGGTGTGGGGGGGGACTGGGGATGTGTGTGTATGTGTGTGTGTATGTGTGTGTGCGTGTATGTGTGTGTGCATGGGGGCGGGTGTGTGCAGGGGTGTGGGTGCACATGTGTGCATGTATGTGTATATGTGTGCACCTGTATGTGTGTGCACGCGTATGCGTGTATGCATGTGGGTGTGGTGTGGCGGGCTGGGGATGTGTATGTGCGTGTATGTGCATGTATGTGTGTGTGTGCATGGGGGCGGGTGCATGGTGGTGAGTGTGTGGGGGGGCATGCGCAGGTGCGTGCACGGGTGTGGGTGCACGTGTGCACATATATATGTGTGTGTGCGTGTATGTGTGTGCACGTGTGAGTGTATGCGTGTGTGTGCATATGTGCATGTGTGTATACATGTTGGTGTGTGGGTGGTGTGCGTGCGTGTGTGTGTGTGTGTATGTGTGGGTGTGTGGGGCATGTGGGGCATGTATATATGTGTGTGCATGTGGTTTATGCGTGCATGTATGTGTATGTGCATGGGTGTGGGTGTGTGTGTATGTGGGTGCATGTGTGTGTGCATGTGGGCACGTCAGTGCACGCTTGTGCGTGCGTGTCAGTGTGTGTGTGCGCACACGTGCAGCAACATCAGAACTTGGCAGTTCTATAAAATGACTTTTATTCACACAGTCTGTTTGTGAGAAACTACACCAGATAGTAATGGGATCTTTTCCATTTGTAAATGGCATGAGAATGTGATCAAAAATGTGTTCTTTAATAATAGTGCTGTTTTGAAAAAGTGAAGAAAAGGAAGCATTTTGTTTAGGGGGGAAAAATGGAGTAGAAGGAGAGCTTTCCAAATGTTATTGTTGCTGCTTTTACCCATGGGAAGAACATACTGAAAAGTTCCAGATAGCAAACACACACTAAGCTCCAGAAAATTTAAGAATAAAATAAGGATTATAAAATATAGATAATTCAAAGCCAGATCATTCAAAGCATAACTCCACTGTAATGCTTTCAGGCCTCACAGGATCTTAATTCCTTTATCTGTAATATTAGATGTGTGAATTAAATGCGACTTGGATCCCATCTAGAATAGACAGGAATAATGTCTTCCTGATTTTAAGATTCAGTGTCTAAACATGTTGGAAAGTTGACTAAAGTATCCATTAGAAAGGAACAACATCAAGGTAGAATTGTCTCTTTTTAAGACTTTATCTACATAAGTATATACAAAATTTGATGTACAAAAGTGTATCAAAACATTTTAAAGGATAGAGACTTTGTTTTGGAGCTTGTGTTGGAGGTGGAAATATTTCATCTCAGGCTTGGCTTTGTCCACAAACTTCAATAACCTTTTATCACATTAGCACAGTCAGAGTGTTTTGATTATGGGTTATGTTCCCTTGGACTTGCAAGACCAACAAACAGAGCCAGCAAATGGAAACTCTAAGCCAACTTCACTTGCATTACTTGTAATAAAGAGAATTGGTAACCACGTAAAGCCTAATCTCCTTCATAAAGCTTCTTTTTCTCATCACTTTCTTCATGACATTTGTTTTCTCATCTTTAAAATGGAGAAGTTAAAATAAATGAAGACTGGAGTCCTTTTTGTCCTTTGAGTATAAGATTCTATGTCTTTAGAAAACATCTGAAAAAATTCAAAAGTGCCCTTGTTCTTTCGTAAGCCAATTGAACCAACATCATTCTTATATTAGTAACTTTTGTGTCATTTGGAAAAATATCAATTCTATAATGGTTTCTAGTGACAGCTGACTAGGCGACTAAATTCAACCATCCTACTAAAAAAAAAAATAAGGGTCCTTGTACACTGTTAGTACAGCTTCTGTGGCAGTTTTTCAAAAAAATAAAAAATTAACCTATTTCACTTCTGGTTGTATACCTGAAAATTCCACGTCTGGTTGTATACCTGAAATGATTGAAAGGAGGGTCTCCACAGATATTTGTAAACCCTTGTTTATGGCAGCATTACTCATCATAGCCAAAACACAGAAGCAACTCAAGTCCCCATTTATGGGTAAATGGATAAACAAAAGATGGTATATATATGCAATGGAATATTATTCAGCCATGAGGAGAGAATTTCTGACACATGCTCCAGCATGGATAAACCTTTGGGACATTATGCTAAGTGAAATAAACCAATTGCAAAAAGACAAATACTGCATGATTCCACATAGATGAGGTACCTAGTGTGGTCAATCATAGAGACAGAGCTGAATCGTTGCCAGGGGCTGGGGAGAATGGAAAGAGAAAACTTGTTCTTTATAGGTGTAGAATTTCAGTTTCATAAGACTAAAAGGTGCAGTGGCATGATCTTATAGACCCAGGTCCTCGGGAGGCTGAAGCAGAAGGATCGCTTGAGCCCAGCAGTTTGAATCTGGCCTTGGTAACATAGTGAGCTCCCATCTCTTTAAAAAAAAAAAAAAAAAAAAAAAAGACTAAAAAGAGTTCTGGAGATTGATGAGATTGATTGCATAACAATATAAATGTATTTAACACTACTACATGTACACTTAAAAGTTGTTAGGATAGTAAATTTCATGTGTATTTTATTACAATTAAAAAATGAAGCATTTTTTTAAAACTAGGTAAAATTCAAAAGGCTATGCTGAAAAACATCAGATATCTAATAGGTAGAGATAAAATGACTAATTTAAAACAGGAGAAGATTAATGCTCAAAGAGGAAAGCCTGAACCATTTCTGGCCCAGGACAGATGCCCATGCAGAAAGAGAAGGTAATACATGGAATGATATTTGTCAAATGGTGAGAGGTAAAGGAGACAGTGCTGAAGTCCTAATATTCTCATGTGTATCACTGCTGGAGCCTCTTTTCCTAACTTGAGGGTCTCTTGCTTGTGCCTTGAAGCTTTGGAAGGCAGCTGAAAGGTAAGCCAGTTGACTGACTCTAGGGAAGAACAAATGTATCACAGTTCAACTCCTGCCAAGGAGGAAATCCTAACACAAAATCTTTTGTGTGGGATTAGTTCCCTCAGAGTCTCCATCTGATATGGAATTACAGATCTAGAAGATTCAGAGGATTGCCTAGGCGACCCACAGAAAGACTACCTTGTTCCTGGACCATAAACCTCAGATCCCCAGCAGAGGCAATGAAAACTTCTCTCTGAAGAAAGTCAACACTCTAGGTATTAAGTTTACATTAATAATTTCTCAAATATATGTCAAGGAAACAATCATAGGATTCCTCTCCTCTGGACAAAACCAGATAAACCAGCATCAACAGAAACAAGAGACAAAATAAATCTGCTGAAAATCTAAAGATTGGAATCATCTGATTCAAACTATAAACACTGCTGTGCTTGCTAGGCTCAGGGATATAAAAGTACAAACCTAAAAATGTCAAAAACTGGGAAGCTATATAAGTAACATCGCAGAGGTGCAAAAGAATCTGTTTGAATTTTCAGAATGGAAAGGGTCAACAGCCAAAATAAACAACACACTAGATGGGATTAACATCAGATCAGACACACAAAAAAGAATACTAGTGAACTTTAAGATAGGTCAAAGGAAACTATCCATGATAAAAGCCATAAAGACTAAAAAAAAAAAGTAAAATTCTAAGAGATGGTGAAGATATAGGGGATGTAATGAAAAGATATACCCATAGTTTAATTGAGGTTGCAGAATAAGAGGCAAGAAGGGGGCAATATTTGAAGAAATGATTACTGAGAATTTCTCTAGACTGATAAATTACATCAATCCAGTGATTCAAGAAGTCCAACAATCCCTTATCCTATAACAGTGAAACTACAGAAAAATTAAAGACAAAAAATATTAAGTCAATCAGAATAAAAAAGTACCCTCATTGGAACAAGAATCAGAGACAGTGGGAGCTAAATGATGAGAACACATGGACATATAGAGGGAAACCACACACACTGGGGCCTGTTGGCGTGTGGAGGGTGGCAGTGGAGAGAGAATCAGGAAAAATAACTAATGAGTACTAGGCTTAATACCTGGGTGATGAAATAATCTGCACAAATACCCATGACACAGATTTACCTATGTAAAAACCTGCACATGTACCTCTGAACTTAAAACTTTTGAAAAATAAAAAATGTTTAGCAATTAAAAAAAAGAATTACAAATAGTTGAATTCTTAACAGCAATAATGAAAACCGGAAAGCGGTGAGAAATACCTATAAGGTACCGAAGGAAAACTACCAATTTTCTATGAAAAATTTAATCCATAATGGAGACAAAATGAAGACACTGTCAGACAAACAATATCTCAGCTAATTTGCCACTTGCAGACACATCTAAAACCAATGATGAGTTAATGACCATTCTTGGATTAATTTCTACTCCAGGCTGAAAGAAAAGAACAAAAACAAGAAAACAGATGCAGCCTCCAAGATTCTAGAAGAATTGAAAGCAATGAGTATAGTAAATATATGGATAAATCAAATGTATTTTGGATGAATAAAATAATAATAGCAGTATATCATGTTTAAATATGATACATTTTTATATTAAAATATGTGTATAATATACAAAAACAATATGAAGTGAAAGAGAATGAACCTTCTAATCTCCTCTAATTTCATGGCAGACCTTATCACTGGATAAAAAAGTAAGACCTAAACATATGCTTCCTGCAAGAAACACCCTTTAAATATGAAGGCACAGATAGGTTAAAATCAAGTAATTGGAAAAAGATATAGCACACAAACCTTAATCAAAGAAAGCTGGGGTGGCATTATTAGTAACAGACATAGCAGACTTCAGAACAAAGAGTATGGCCAGAGACACATAAGATTGTTATGCAAGGATAAAGGAGTCTATCTTAAGAGGACACAACAACCTTTAACATGTATGCACTTAATAGAACTTTAAGGTATACAAAGTAAAAATGTATAAAAACAAAGGGAGAAATAAATCCACAATTATAACTGGAGATTTTAATACCCTTCTTTTGGCAATTGATAAGGGAGTTTCCCCCCTCCAGAGCAATGTCAGGAGAAACTAAGTAAAACAAAAGGTTTAAATAAGATCCAGGGTCTCAAAATATAGTATTCCAAATGTCCAGATTTTCATTGAAAATCACTTGTTATACCAGAACCAGAAAAATCTCATCCAAAAAAACAAAAAGATAGATGCCAGCATCAAGATAACAGCAATCTTAGAATTATCTGACAAAGGTCTTCAATTACCCATCATAAAAATGCTTCAATGAGCAATTTCAAACACATTTGAAACAAATGAAAAAACAGATCATCTTAGCAAGCAATGCAATATGTAAAGAAGAACCAACTGGAAATTTTAGAGCTGAAAAATACAGTAACAAAAAAACCCAATAGATGGGCTCAACAGCCGAATTGACGGCACAGATGAAGGAATAAGTGAACTTGAAAATAGAACCATAGATATTTATCCAATCTGAAAAAGAGAGAAATAGATTAGAAAATAAATGAACGTATCCCCAAGCACCTTTCCTAACAAAATCTAACATTTGTGTCACCAAGTTCAAAAGTAAAGAAGAAAAAGAGCAGGATTGAAAACACAATCAAAGAAATAATAGCTGAAAACTTTCTGAATTTGGCAGAAGACATAAACCTACAGAATCAGCTAGCTAAGTGAACCCCAAAGAGGATAAATTCAAAGAAATATCTATTCAGATCCATCATAAGAAAAAAACATCTTGAAGGCAGCCAGGGAGAAGTGAAACCTCACTGACAGAGGAAAAGCAATTCAAATGACAGTGGATTTCTGATTAGAAACCATGATGACAGAAGAAAGTGGCCCAATATTTTTCAAGAACTGAAAAGACGTCAAGCCAGAATTCTGTATGTAGTGAAAACATCCTTTAGGAAAAGGGAACATTTTGCAATGGAGAGTATGTTCTATCTCATGTGTGTGGTTTGGTTGCTCAAATGTGTATACTTGTCAAAACTCACTGAATTGCATACCTAAAATGGGCCAATATTATTGCATTTAAATAATACCTTAATAATGCTGACCAAAAACAAAAAAGGAATGAAGACCATGAGAGTCAACATAATGGCTACTGCTGGTGGTGAATACAGGGCTCTGTGGTTCTGGTTATGCTGTTGACTTATGGCAGGAACATAGATGTTCATTTTACAATTCAATGTGTACATTTATGTTTTGTGCATTTTAAAAATTAAAAAGATGACACAGGTAGGAAGGAGAACTGTCTCTCCCTTCAAGAGATATCCAAAATCCTCCAAGTAATCTCAGAGCAAAATTCTTTTTAAATGTATCTTTTTATAGAGACACATCACAATACAATTTTAAAAGTGTAAGAGATCCAGGGATATCATAGTTTTAATTTCTCCCAAAAGTGAATCAATAGGCTTTACAAAGTGCTATCTAGTATTATCAAAAAAGCATGAAAAGGCCCAGTGTGGTGGCTCATGCCTGTAATCCCAACACTTTGGGGGTCGAGGCAGGTGGATCACCTGAGGTTAGGGGTTCAAGACCAGCCTGGCCAACGTGGCAAAAACCCATCTCTACTAAAAATACAAAAAAAAAAAAAAATTAGCCATGCATGGTGGCACATGCCTATAATCCCAGCTACTTGGGAGGCTGAGGCAGGAGAATTGCTTGAACCCAGGAGGCGAAGTTTGCAGTGAGCCGAGATTGCACCACTGCACTCCAGCTTGGGCAGCAGAGGGAAACTTGGTCAAAAAAAAATAAAAATTAAAAAAATTTAAAAAATTAAAAAAAGAAGCTTGAAAAATAGTTATCCTTCCCTCACAATTATGACTAGATCCCTAAAAATCAAAGACTTTCTAAGTTGCAGTCAAGTAGTAAGTGTTTCTTTCAAATGCTTGAAATGGATGGAAGAGTTGATATTATGAAAAGCTCCATTGATTGATTTTCAGGACATAGTGACTAAACTCTAGAATTATCCATGAGATCTGTTTCCTAGGAAACCTATCTCACCCAAAGTTGAAGTGGAAAGTCCTTTGGGAAGAAGAAGTTGCTTATTTTTAATATTTTCTTAAGAGAATAAAGTATGTAACTGCCAATGTAAGTCCTTCCATGTGGCAGTTTTAGTTACATGTCACTTGTTAGGCAAACAAGGAAATCTTTTTGACAACATCATAAAGTGTTCAGAAAAACTAGATCCAACCATATGGAAACAGAAGACAATCATCTAGGACTGCACCTAATCTCAACTTTTCCTAAACCTTTCTCTTTTTATCTTGATAAAGCCTCGAAGTTAACATTTAATGCTTTATTCCATTTTCTTTTGTTAAACATAGATCTCTTTACTACAATATAGAAGTAGCTCTAAATATCAGGCCTAGTGTTATTCTTGATGTCTCCATTTCTCCTACACAAAACTGAGGTCAGGTCAACTTTAGTCTCTGCCTTGCCTCATTTTCTTCTCCAATGCAAGCAGTGACCAGAAGCATATTCTGTTTCCTCACCATGGTCCCTTTACTTTGAAATTCAGCATCAGGTTTTCTGGGTTGCTGGTTCCAACAGGCCTTTTGCCCAGTACTTACAGATGGGTTTCTACCCCAAGGATCTTTTCTAACAATCCATCAGCTTCCCCAGATTCTTTGCTAAAATTATAGCTGGAATCCTGACATTAGATGAAGGAGCACTCTGTGACTATATTTTAGTGTAATTTCTGTGCAGTGTATTTCTGTGTGGTATAGCCACTAGATATGGGCATCCAAGGTTCCTGTTCTAGCTTTGTTCCTAGACTGTAAGTGTGGTTCACCAACAACATCAGCAGCACCTGGGCACTTGTCATATATTCTGAATCAGAATGTCTAGAGTTAAGACCAGGAATCTTTTTTTTTTTAAGACAAAACTCCAGGTGATGTGTATGCGTATGCAAATTTGGGAAGCATCACTTTAGGAGGCTCTGGCCCTACTGTGGCCATGCCTCTCCCCACAAAATGACAGGTCCACACAGGTAAGGGGAAGCACCCACCTAGTGCCCGTGTCCCCCTTCTAAGTCAATCTCTCAGAAACTACTCCCATTCCTGAGACAAAGGAAATCTGTGACCAAAGGAGACTACTTCTAGGGCCAGCACAGACCTCTTCCTCAGCTCATCCTTCTGAGGCCAAGAAGACCACCAGACAAATGACTAGTGGGTAACTTTTTGAGAAAAGTCAGAGTAGAGGGAGGACTTGGGAGCTGCACAGCCCATGGCATAAGCAGGAATCCATGTGTAGTGCAGGATGGGGCAAGAAGGTACAAAAAAAAAAAAGAAAAGGAGAGGGGTCTTCATTTGCACCCTTTCCCCAGAGCTTTAAATAAAGGTCTGCCTGGTTTCTATGGTTTAGCCATAGGAGAAGGGTAACTATGGATCCCTCTCTTTCCTCACACATTTTATCTGATTCCCCAACAAGTGCCAAGTTTGGAGACACTTTTATGGGATGACTGGAGCTTTCACAGTATGTCCAAAGGTCAAGATCCTAAGGTTTTGGTCTTTTCCTTCTCTCTTGCTTTCCTGGGCCAAGAATATTTAAAAGGCGGGCAGATTCTGCCCTAGGCATGGAAAGCTTGCTCACCAGCCAGCCTCCCACAGCCAGCATTCTGTCCTTTTCCTCAGCTCCTTTGTGGGTAATTCTATTACTACTCTCCTGACACACACACACACACACACACACACACACTACAGGCAAGAGAAGATGTGACCCACAGCCCATCTCTATTCTTACCCCACTCCTGGTCTGTATACCTAGTGACCAAGTGGTAGAAGCTAGGCCAGGCACAGTGGCTTACTTGAGGCCAGCAGTCTGAGAGTACTCTGGGCAACATAGAAAGACCCCGTATCTACAAAAATAAAAATAAAAATTTAAAAATTAGCTGGACATCATCCCATCTGTGGTCCCAGCTACTCAGGAGGCTGAGATAGGAGGATTGCATGAGCCCAGAAGGTTGAGGTTACAGGAAACCATGATCACACCACTGCACTTCAGCCTCGGTGACGGAGCAAGATCCTGTTTTTTAAAAATGGTGGGAGAACATCCCTTGCACAGTTCTAAGTGGTGCCACCTGCACACACTCCACATTCTTGATTTCTGTCCTCCACACAGCCAGGTAAAATATACCAGGAAACATATGAGAGCTGAACTCTTACCTACCTAAGCCCAGTGGCCAGCAAGCTCTCTTTTGTTTCATTACTGATAACAGGTAAGAGCATGAAATCTGGAGCCAGACTACCTTGGTTCAAAGCCAGCTCCACGATGAACAAGCTGTGTGAGTATGGGTGGCGCTCCTAAACTTTCTGTGCCTAAACTTTCCTCATCTGTAGAATGGGCATAATGTATAACTTAAATCATATGATTGCTGTGAATATGTGAATGTGTAATATGAAATAAAATATGTAAATCACTTAAACCTGAGCCAATATGTATCAAATGCTATTTAAGTGTTAGCTATCAACACTGTTATGAGATGTGAAATTCAGGCTTGGTCTTTAAGATGAAAGCAGAGCAGGCCTTCTGGTCTAATAAGATGTAAAGAGGCTTAGGGCTTTCCTAGCATTGGAAAAAAAAAAAAACAAGGAATCCTCCAGGTCATCCAGATGAACTCACTGGATCCTAAGGCTTGAGGCCAAAACACATCTCGTTTATTCATCAATACACATTTTGTTGCAAGACACATTGTTGGTGAGGGGGATACAGTGGTGAACAAAGCAGAAGTCCTGCCCTCATGGAGCTTACATTGTGATTATGGTACATGTCTACTTGTTTTGCCTTGGTTCACTGTCTGGGAAGAGGTCAAAAGCAAGGTTCAGTTACTCCAGGGTTTCTGAGCCAAATGATATCTTTAATACTACCTTCTAATAATGTCCTAAAAATCTCATTATGATTTTCATTCTCTATCTCTTAAGATCCCTTCTGCTTTATTCTTGGCCTCTTGTGCTGACTTCTTAGCTACAGTAGAGCCTCTTCTTACCGTATCTTTAGTTATTTGCCTTTGAACCACACTGAAAAATTTCAGGATTTAGACTTTGAATTTTGACTCTGCCATTTGTTGGATGGCTGTATTAGTTTCCTATGGCCTCTATAAATTTTAGGCCCTGTACCTAAAAATTACCATACATTTAGAGGCTTAAGACAACACATGTTTACTATCTTTCAGTTCTGGAGGTCAGAAGTCCAAAGTGGATCTCACTGGGCTAAAATGAAGTTATTGGCAGGCTTAGCTCCTTCTGGACGTTCTAGGGATGAATCGATTTCCTTGCCTTTTCCAGATCCTAGAGGCTGCCTGCATTCTCTGGTGCAGAGGCCATGGCTCCTTCCTCTATCTTTAAAGCCATACAGCATCTTTAAATCTCCCTCTGACTCTGACCTCTTCTGCCTCCCTCTTCTGCATTAAGAGACACTTGCGACTATATTGGACCCAACCAGATAACCCAGGATAATCTCCTTTTAAGGTCAGCTGATTAGTGACCTCCATTCCATCTGCAACCTTAATTCCCCTTTGCCATGGAATGTAACATATTCATAGTTTCTAGGGATTAAGACATGGACGTCTTTAAGAATTCATTATTCAATCTAGCACAGTGGCCTTGAACAAGTTTTTGAATCTCACTGACACTTGATTTCTTCATCTGTAAAATGGACATTAAACCATAGCAAACACATGGACTCATCCTCCCGTCAGTGGTAGACTGGATGAAGAAATGTAGTACATATACACCGTGGAATAGGCTGCAGCCATAAACAAACAAGATCATGTCCTTTGAAGGAACATGGATGGAGCTGGAGGCCAATATCCTTAGCAAACTCACACTGGAACCAGAAAGCCAAATACTGCAAGTTCTCACCTGTAAGTGAGAGCTAAATAATGAGAACCAACGGGCACAAAGAGGGGAACAACAGACCCTGGGGACTACTTGAGAGAGGAGGGTGTGAGGAAGGAGAGGATCAGGAAAAATAACTGTTGGGTATGAGGCTTAGTACCTGGGTGATAAAATGGTCTATACACCAAACTCCCGTGTCATGAGTTTGCCTGTATTAACACACCTGCAGATGTACCCCTGTACCCAAAAGTCTTTTAAGATGTAGATTAAATTACTGTGAAATATAGTTGAAATAAGGATTTTTTTTAAATCACAGGTGTTTTCTGACTGACATACTGAGCTCACTTCCTTAAGCATCTACATATGTTACCTCTCCTTTCCTACTCAACACAATCTACTTCCCACAGCCGTAACTGGCAAGATCCAAGAATGGGTCCTCATAACATCAGGTGGTCCTTTAAGGACAGAATCAGAGATAAAAGACGGAGAGGTACTCATTAGGCTTTAACAGTCATTTATATAAATGACTGCCTAGTATAAATTAGGTTTTATGAAATCGTTTCCTGAGAATAATTATCATAGCAATGGAGGAAATGGAAAATGATGGCCCTAAAACTGTCCCTGCTCCACAATTTTGCCAAAGGATAGTGTCGGTGATAATATTTTATCAGGGATCCCAAATCCCATAAGCACAAAAAATAATTTTCCTTGTCAAGTTTTAAGGGATATAATTGCTTAATCATTCAAAATGTCCCCTTAATGAATACAATCTTTGAGGTCATGATGCAAAGAATACATCTTAGTTCACTTTGGATTCCAGTTTTATAAGTAAAAGGTAGGTGCTTATTTTGACTTCCCTAACATTTTTTAAATAGACAAAATAGAAAATTATTTTCTTCTCAAAACATACTTCTGACATTCCAATGACTGCATTGCAAGGGGATAAAATGTGATGGTACAATGAAGGTCCCCTGCTTCATTTAAAGTGGCTGCTGGCGTGATATGGAATGGGAGGTACCCTCAAAACAGACTGAGGTGTGTATGTGTCATTCTTTCTGAACATTTTTCTGGGCATTCAGAACATTCTGTCATTTTTATAGCATCTTGGTTCCTTCCCAGGTTTGGAAAATGTTGTACCTAATGAGTCTTGATAGAAGACAAAGCCCACCTCCCCTTTCAGAAGCTGAAGTGACAAGATGTCACTTTTCCAGACTCCTTTGAAGTTAGGACATGAGCAGATGACCTAGGCTCCCCCAGGCAGAGACTTGCTCCAGGTCATTAATTAGAAACAAGTGACCATGCAGAATCTTTTCTGAAAATAGGAAGAGGCAATGGTGGCAACCACATCCAGGTACCAGGGCCTGCAGTGGCTACAGCCAGTACCTCAGAGCTTGCCATCAGCAGTGCAAGCTGCAGGAACCAGTGCTCAGCAGTGACATTAGGGGGGTCTTCACAAGACCAGCAATGTGGGGCCACTGTCTCAGGCATATAGCCCTGAGTCTGATTCTGTAGCTAACCCAACAATTATTTCAGCTCCCCAGTTTTACTTTAATGAACCCCTTGCTGCTTAAAAAAAATCCATAGTAGATTTTTGTAACTTGTGACTAGAACCTTGAGAAAGTGTTCCTGAGAGCTCTGTGCTTTAAAAGCACCTGAAAGTATATCTTGTATCACGCAGAGAAGGAAAATATCCATCTACACTTCAACAGGGGGGTTTTTCTTTGGAAGGTAAAACAAAAGATATGAGAATATTAAGTGATGAAAAAAGAAGCTGATTTCAATCAGCTAATGCAATCGTATGCATTGCATTAAATATACTTTATTGCTACTCAATCAGATTCACTCTTCACGTTTTGGGGTAACCTCATTCCCAGCTATCAGGGCTTAGTCAGGCATGACTGTGGACAATCAATACTGTTGAGGAAATGAATTCTAGCATAGAATGACACAATGACATCCAGGATGACACACCTGGCAGCTGATCAACAAAGAGATGCCAGTGGGATCTCCAAAAATCAAAAGTTCTCTGGAGAAATTGGTCTGGTAACAGTCCCATTTAGTACCTGTATTACTCAGGGTCTCCAGAGAAACCGAACCAATAGAATAGATATATCTACACATACATGGAGATTTATTATTAAGATTATAAAGGCTGAGAAGTCCTATGACCTGTCTTCTGCAAGCCGGAAACCCAGGAAAGCTGATGGTTTAATTCAGTCTGATTCTGAATGCCTGAGAACCAAGGAGCCAATATTATAAATCCCACTCCAAGGGCAGGAGGAGACCAATGTTGCAGCTCAAACAGGCGGGTGGGAAGAAAAGAGGGTAAACTCCTTCCTCTGCTGTCTGTTCTATTTAGGCCCTCAATAGATTGGATGATGCCCGCCTACACTGAGGAGTGTGATTTACTTTACTGAGTCCACAGACTCAAATGCTAATCTCAAAGAAACATCTTCACAGGTACACTCAGAAACCTAGAGATAATGTTTAACCAGATATCTGGGCATCCTCTAATCCAGTGAAGTTGACACATCAGAGGAATTATCATAGTACCTAAATAATTGTGAATTCTGTTTCACCTAACTCCAAGTTTCATAAATTTAAAATGTCAAAGCTGGAAAAGAAATTCAACATTACCTAATTTCCTCATTTTACAACTGGAAAACTGAAGTCTAGAGAGGATAAGTTAAAAGTAAAACCACACAGCAAGTTTTTTAGAAGTCTAACAGCACTGATAAGATGCTTCCAGGATGGAAACCACCTTGACTTAATTTAGCTCTCAATTCCTTTGATAGACTAAATTCTTAAAGTTTTGTTTGGCATACTATATGCAAAATTCAATCACCAGACATCATATTGGGCCACCGGCAAACAAACCCTATCTACCAGGCAGTTAAATTAAATAATTACAAGACTGTAAATTTTCAAATTTACAAATAAGAAATCCATAATGAGAAGGAAATTTCATTTGTTTGCTTTTTTATTCACAGCAACCTTTGGAAGGGAATTATAGTTTAACAGGAAAAATTAAAGCCTATATAATCCTTCTTTGTAAGTAGATTAAGCTACAATAGAAGGATGAATCCCCTTATCTAAAGAAAAATGTAGTGGAGATAGTTCTGGATTTGTCACCCTTACTTCTCCTGACCTCAGAGAAACTTTTAGTTTTTTGTCTCAAAAAAACAGGAGTCTTTCTTCTCTCTCTGGTTTGATGACCTAGCAAGACAGAACTGAAGGCACAAAGCACTCATTAGATAAAAGGTGTCACTCCTACTGATTACTTTTGTTATTAATATGTTCCTATGAGGTGCATCTTAGTATATCTGCAGTAAGTATACAAATTTGAGATGCCAAGAGTGAAGTTATCCTGACTGGGAAGGTGATAAAGTAGTATGGATTTAAACCCACTCTCTCTAACCCTAAAGTTCAGGCTTTCTTCCACTACAACTCCCTAACAGTCATTCCTCTCTTCCTAAGACTGCAACATATTAGGCAGCAGCCTCTGACAATGGCATGGTCAACAAGATACCTCTGGGTAAAACGCAGTACAGACATGATGTCTCTCTCTCTGTCTAGACAGGAAAGACAGAAGATCAAGGCTAAACATCCAAAGTGTTTCTTCTTACAGTAGGCCATATTAGCAATTTGGAATACTAGATAGGTCAGGCTGGAAAACTAGAAGAGGTAGAAAATAGCATACTGAGCTAGGAAGCCAAAGTGGCATGACTGATCTCACAAGTTTCAAGGCCCCTTTGAGCAGCCATTTGCAAAATAACTTGTAGCAAAGGACAGTTGGTGATTCTGGACTGAAGCATATCCAGCTTGCTGAGCAGGAGCTAACAACAGCTGTAGAGTTTTCCAGTCCCTTGGCACTGCTGCCAACCTATGCATTAAATCTCTCATTATAACC